>NC_000004.12:113315320-113466835 GCF_000001405.40 Homo sapiens | reverse complement strand
AGATAGCATATGCATAATTGCCGAGTGATACAGATGCTGCAGGCTTTCAAAAAAGAGAAAGAACACTTGAGGCAGATGTCAGTAGAAACAAATTCACTGAATAGATAGGATTTGAGCCAAACCACTATTAATAATTTCACCAATTATGGGCTAGGAATAGAAACAAATCATGATTGGTGTTGGGTTTGACAGCTATACCTGGAGGCTTTCATCTTATTATCTGCCTACATCTACAGTATTGATTCATATGTCACTTCTTCAATTTGTAGAGTTTACTAAAGGCCATTTGTCTAAAAACAAAGGCCAGTCACAGTGTCGGCATCCTTTTGTAGAGTTTGTCAAGCAGAAAAGTGAGAAAATGCAAATAATTATATAAAGTTCAATATCTCAATGCAAGATATCATCTTTACTCTGAAGATAGACATATTATTAGAATGATACTTTTTAAGATTGTTTTTAATAACACTTGTTAACTATGAAGAGAAATATGTTTACTAATCCAATCAAGTTAAGGTAGTAAAAACTAATTTTATTTTATTTTATTTTATATTTATTTATTTATTTATTTATTTATTTTTGAGACGGAGTTTTGCTCTTGTTGCCCAGGCTGGAGTGCAGTGGCGTGATCTCGGCTCACTGCAACCTCCACCTCCCAGGTTCAAGCAATTCTCTTGCCACAGCCTTCCCAAGTAGCTGGGATTATAGGCATGCGCCACCAAGCCCGGCTAATTTTGTATTTTTTTTTCAGTAGAGATGAAGTTTCTCCGTGTGGGTCAGGCTGGTCTTGAACTCCTGACCTCAGGTGATCCGCCCACCTCGGCCTCCCAAAGTGCTGGGATTACAGGCATGAGCCACTTTGCCCAGCCTTAGTAAAAACTAATTTTAAAAAACATAGCCTTGACCGACCTTTCAGGTGACTGTTGTTTTCAAACAAATGGAAAATAGCAGTGCTTTCCAAACATGAATGTACTCAGAGGTCACCTGAGAGTCATGTTAAAATGCAGATTCTGGCAGGGCACAGATCACACCTGTAATCCCAGCACTTTGGGAGGCAGAGGTGGGAGGATCACTTGAGCCCAGGAGGTCAAGGCTGTAGGGAGCTGTGATTGCGCTACTGTACTCCAGCATGGGTGACAGAGTGAGACCCTATCTCAAAAATTAAAAATGAAAAAGAATATTTAATATGACTTTTGTCTTTTATTCTTACCCAACTCCATATTTTTGCCTTTAGCACGAAAGCAAGAGATTATCAAAGTCACTGAACAACTGATCGAAGCTATCAACAATGGGGACTTTGAAGCCTACACGTGAGTAGCGGACGTTTACTTTGCTTTCATGCATATGGTAAATATATTTTTTATATGAATGCATTATTCAACATGTCTGAATTCACATATATTTAATTCAAGGTTTGATATGTTAACAATAGTTTTATTTCATAAATGACTAAGTGCCCCTAGGAGAGAAAAATTTCAGAGAAAATTTCAGAGAAAAGATTTCAGAGGCCAGGCACAGTGGCTCACACCTGTAATCCTTGCACTTTGGAAGGCCAAGGTGGGAAGACTGCTTGAGGCCAAGAGTTCAAGACCAACCTGGGTGACAAAACAAGACCCCGTTTCTACAAAAAGTTTAAAAATTAGTCAGGCATAGTGGTGCACACCTGTAGTCCCACATACTTGGGAGGCTGAGGCAGGAGGATCACCTAAGCCCAGGAGGTCGAGGCTGCATGGAGCCATGGTCACATCACTGCACTCCAGCCTGGGTGACAGAGTGAGACCCTGTCTCAAAAAAGAAAAGAAAAAAGATTTCACAGAGAGAAGGCTTGACTTCTGATCCAACGATTGGAGATTTCTTTGTAAATATACAGATGTATAACCACTCCCACATCACACATACAGAAGTCCAGATGAGAAAAGGTCAGTCCAGGCAGAGCAATTCATGTGAGCAAACACACAAAAAAATATGAAAGTACATAAAATGTGCATTTCAGCTTAAGAAATGTTTTCCCTTGCAGTTCTGCAGAGGTTCTGGGGCAGAGAAAGAGATTAGGAGGTGACATGAGGCAGCCTTCTCTCTTCAGCCAGTACAGCTCAACTTTATCTGCATCTCTTTTATATGTTTGTATCTTAAGGAAAACTTTACTTGAAGAATGGGTTTTAATGCTTATTTAAAGTTTATAAACTCCTGGATCATAGGAACTATGAAGGAAATTACTTTGCTGAAGTTAAAATAAAGCATTCAATTTAAATAGGGCCTTCTCCTTACACCATGCAACTAATGAGTTCCACCCCAGTGAAAGACTTAAAATGCAAAACGGAGATTGAATCTGATCTCTGGCTAGAAAGATCCAAAAGCTGAAGATATAATCATAAATGAGAACATAATATGATTATACCTAAATAGATAAAACGTGTATACTTTAATTAAAAAACCAAGAATAAAAGAGACAAACTTAGAAAAACATTTGCAAAACATATATCAAAATTTAATTTTTTATATTGCGTGAATATGATTGAAAAGTAGAAAAATAGGTAAAGAACATGAACTGACTATTATCAGAGGAGGAAATATAAATGACAAGTAAACTAGTAAAGGCATATTCATGTTTACTAATTAAGTATACACAAACTTGAATGCAAGAGCCTCTTCTCCCTATAAAGTCAGCAGAGATGTAAATTCTGCTGATAGCCAGCAAGGTGCAGATACTGCAGGACAATGGTGACTTTCCTCCACCATGGAATAAAACACAATTGGGTGCAAACTTTCAGGGTGGTGGTGGTGGCAGATATGGGGGGATTAGTAATATATTTTGTTGTATAATCTGTTATTATATACCTGAAAGCTTTTATAAAGTCTCACTTTACTGTAATACTATAATTCTACTTATAAGAATTTAACAAGTATAAATTTTTTATGTAAAACATGAACAAAAATTTGTGAACAAAGATATATACTGAAGCAAAATTCATAATAGTGAAAAATTGGAAACAATGTATATGCCCAACAGTACCATTCCCATTAAATCATCTTTGGTACAATGGTTATGTTGAGTTTCTAGCGACCTGGAAAAATATTTATGATGTTTTTACTGAAAATTAAGCAGGACTTAAAAGACTATGTACATAATTATTACAACTAAAAAAGTAAAAGGTATTAAAAGTGCCAGGTGCGATGTCTCACGCCTGTAATCCTAGCGCTTTGGGAGGCCAAGGCAGGCAGATCACCTGAGGTTGGAAGTTCAAGACCAGCCTGACCAGCATGGAGAAACCCCATCTCTACTAAAAGTACAAAATTAGCCAGGTGTGGTGGTCCATGCCTGTAATCCCAGCTACTTGGGAGGCTGAGGCAGGAGAATCACTTGAACCCAGGAGGCAGAGGTTGCGGTGAGCTGAGATCGCACCATTGCACTCCAGCCTGGGCAACAAGAGTGAAACTCTTTCTCAAAAAATAAACAAATAAATAAATAAAAAGTATTAAAAGTGGAATGAAACATGCCAAATTAGATTTTAAAAAGAAAAAAAGAAGTTGCCTCTGAGAGGTAAAATTATGTGTGAATTTTTTTCCTGCTTTTTTATTCTTCCCAAATTTTACATAAGCAAGTATTACTTTTATCATTAGTTATAAATAAACACAAAATATAAAATATGGACGAGATTAGCTAAATGTAAGACAAACTATATCAGGAGCTTCTTCTTATAACTTAAATATGTGTGCATATATGTATAAACACATGCATATACTTATGTATGAGTGTATCCATTCTTTATCATGACCTAATAAGACATACTTGGAATAAAAGAAATAGTAAAAATTGGAGTTAAGAAGAAGTCTGTTTTCAGAGACAACCGTTCCCTATTAAACAATTGTTTATAGCTGTGCCATAGAACCTGCTTTTTAAAAATTCTTGTTGCTGTTATATCCTTGTTAGATACATATGATTATCCAAAGAATAAGATTATTCTCTTTTTTAAAAAATCTTTTTTTTTTGCAATAGCATTTCCTTGTGGAATGATAAAAAGTTGTGTTTGTTATTGTTAAAAAGAAGTTGCCTCTGAGAGGTAAAATTGTGTATGAATTTTTTTCCTGCTTCTTTTATATTCTTTCTAAATTTATAAACAGATACTACTGTTATATAGGGAGCAATTGTAGCCAGGCAAAAGTGTATGTTTCCTATATTCTCAGTTTAAAATAGGGTATTTTAAATAATGCTAAACCTTGGGATCATACCAGTTCACTAATATCTTTGCCTATGGAGACTTATAATCTGGCCTGATTTTGTACTTTCCAGCCAGAGCTAATCCAACAGGGCTTCCATTCGAGAGCTTTTGGGATGGTAGAATGTACTGGTGGATCCCTGTCAGCTGGTCCTTAGAACACCTGTTCAGATCACACACACCCACATGTCAAATGGCAGCTTTGTGGATCTTTCATTAATACAAAGCCTTTTATGGGGTAGATGGATGATTAGATAGATAGATAGATAGATAGATAGATAGACAGACAGACAGACAGACAGACAGACAGACAGACAGACAGACAGACACACACACACACACACACACACACACATTTCCAAATATACTGACTCTTTTTCATGGCTGGGTAAGAAGATCCATCATGGCACAGTGATTCCCAGATTATGTTAGTACTGATGTAAGGCAGTAAGAAATTTTGGTTCACTGATAATGACAACCAAAAACCATATTTATAGAGGAAGTAATAGCCCCTGGCAGAATAAATTCTTGTTACCATAGGAACGCTGTTCTTCCCATTTTGCTTCTTAGAAAGAGACTATATATATTTGATTTTAAGCTTAAAAATGCCTGCCCAGCAGGCAATCTGAAGTGAAGGTTACTGTAATCCTTGCCCCCATCATCTTTAAGGCACAAAGGATATCCACTGTGATTTCTACTTTTTAAAGGTATTCTTTAAATAACACCGGTTCCACGTTCTATAAACAGTACTGCACTTTGAGGAACTACAGTGAGTTAGACTTTTGAAATTTGTATTTCTGTTGAACATTTAAAAAATTTTGCTCCCCCTCCACCCAAATGGGGAATTTCTCTATGAAATTAGATGTGGCCCCATCCACTGTATTACCCTTTGGGGCAAATTAATAAACAGTCCAAAATCCTTTGATTTGTACTCCATTTGATCTACCTTGTGAACTCCCATTCATTCTTCAAATCCAGGTCTTGTCACCTTCTCTGAGAAGCCTACCCTGATCACCATAGGCCCAAAGGAAATATTTTCTTCTCTGCATTTCCAGGGGCCTTACACACATAACACAGTGACCCTGCTTTCCATATCAAGCAACCAGTCATCATTCCCCAAGCATACTCTGCATTTTCACAGCAGCAGACCATTGCACTTGCTGTCCTCCCCCTGCCCACCACCTCCCACACACCTGGAAAACTCTTACTCATTCTTCAAAGCCCAGCTCAAATTTTCTTCCTCTCTTAAACCTTTCCTGTTCATCTATTCTAGTATTGATTATTGTATAATTGCTTGTTTTGAAGAATATCTGCCACATAGTAAGTGTTCAGCAATTCTTTACTGAATAAATAAATTTCTCCAAAGAAAGCTCATTGGTTTTTTCCAAATATTTAAAATTGTGCACCCCTTTATTGAATCATATTTCTAGGATTAAGAAAGAAAACCAATATGAGCATTTGAACCTTCTGTTGATTTCATTTTAAAAATAAAATAAACTTAAACACAATAATAAGATGTAAGTCTTGTGGACATTGCCAGGAAGTGTAGGGTGTGATACTTTCTTTCAAGTCAATTGTAATATACATGTTTGACATGAATGTAGGATATGTGGTCCATCAAAAATTATTCCAAGGCTAAGCATGGTGGATCACCCCTGTAATCCCATACTTTGGGAGGTCAGGTGGGAGGATCACTTGTGCCTAGAGTCCGAGACGAGCCTGGGCAACATAAGGAAACCCCATCTCTACTAGAAATAAAAATTTAAAAATTAACCCAGCATGGTACTGTACGCCAATACTCCCAGCTACTAGGGAGGCTAAGCCGGGAGGATTGCTTGAGTCTGGAAGGTTGAGGCTGCAGTGAGCCATGATTGCACCAATACACTCCAGCCTGGGCAATGGAGCAAGACCCTGTCTCAAAAATAATAATAATTATTATTATTATTATTGCAGAAGTATTTAATTTCAGAATCAAAGATAGTTTTATAGGATTTGGAGAGTGTCTTACACTTGGACAATAGGACTTGGAGAGCATTTTTAAAAAATAGTAAACCTCAATCAAGAGTTAGAAAAACTGGAAAATTCACCTTAAAAATAAAAAAGTAGAAATTATAAAAAGGGGCCTCCTAAAATATTGTGTATTATCATCTGCTTGAACTGGATAAATTAGTTTGTTCCTATCAGAGTTCTCTGCAAAATGTCTTTTTAAGAGTCTGCTCCTCAACCCACCTTGCCAAGGTTTATGATAGAACTTTTGTATGTAAGTGTTTTTAGAGGCTCTTTCCTTCAGTGACTGGTAAATCAGAATGTTTACACATGAAACAACAAAACACATTAAAGCACCTATTAATTGGTTGTTTTCATTATTTTTCTTTTACAGAAAAATCTGTGACCCAGGCCTTACTGCTTTTGAACCTGAAGCTTTGGGTAATTTAGTGGAAGGGATGGATTTTCACCGATTCTACTTTGAAAATGGTACATTTATTCCTAATTTAATAACATGCCCTTTTTAAACCTCTCTGAATTTTCCCAAATTTGCAGATTATTTTGCTCTTTTCTACAATGAGAGTTTTTACCTTCATCCAGCATTTGAAACCATACAATGGTTTTGTATTCAAAATTGAAAAAAAAATATGTCAGGCTTGGCTTACAGTTTTGGTGTGTTTTAAAAAATATCTTTGTAAAAAAATTAATGTTGACTGGGCACTGTGGCTCATGCCTGTAATCCCAGTGCTTTGGGGGCCGAGGCGGGTGGATCACTTGAGGTCAGGAGTTTGAGACCAGCCTGACCAACATGGTAAAGGCTCATCTCTACTAAAAATACAAAATTAGCTGGGCATGGTGGCGCACACCTGTAATCCCAGCTACTTGGGAGGCTGAGGTATGAGAATTGCTTGAACCCGTGAGGTGGAAGTTGCAGTGAGCCAAGATCGCAAGCCTGGGCAACAAGAGTGAAACTCCATCTCAAAAAAAAAAAAAAAAAGTAATGTTGATTGAATACACTTCAAGCAAGTTGCAGTTAATGTATAATATAAGCTATAAAGCAGTTACAAAAAATGTTATTTCACATTTTCATAAAACTATATATAAAAAAATTAGGCAGGCACGCTGGCTCATGCCAGTAATCCCAACACTTTAGGAAGCTGAGGTGGCAGGATAGCGATAGTTTAAGGCCAGAAATTCAAGACCAGTATGAGCAACATAGTGAGACCCCATCTCTACAAAGAATATAAAAATTAACCAGTCATGATGACAAGCACCTATAGTCCCAGCTACTTGGGAAGCTGAGATGAGAGATCACTTTGAGCCCAGGAGATTGAGGCTGCAGTGAGCTATAATCATGCCACTGGACTCCTGCCTGGGTGACAGAACGAGACCCTGTCTCAAATTTTAAAAATAAGAAAAAGAAAAAATAGGAGGAAAAAATTTTTAAAAACCACACCATGCCAAAATATTTAACATAGAAGAGTGCTTTCAAGCATATGTGATGCTTATTTTCAAAGTAAAATGAAAATGAAGGTGAGTAATCAGATAAATCTTTCAATTCAAATTTTAAGACTTGTGGTAGTTTCAGAGGAAACAGCCACTTTTCAAAGAAGGTGACAAAAGAAGTTCATCCTGCAGAAATCCTTCAGGTCATCAAGAAAAATGTAAACCAGGAATTCCCTTTATCCTTCTCTTTTTCCTTACACCTAATGACATTAGACATTATGCTGTGTTTGCATCTTGCATTAAGGGAATTTACTATTTTTGCAGAGATCTTATTGAATTAAAAAAGAAATGTATTATAGGAATGATTAGGATAATCACATCACTTTCAGTAATTATAAGCTTTGATAAGAATGTCTGCCTTGGCATGGATTTTCGAATTAAGATGTGTTGGATGAGTTACTTTTTCTTATATGCATTAGACATTTACAAACAAATAAACAAAAAGAACTATTTGATAAATTCTCTTTAACAAAATTTCAGTAAATGTTATCATATTCCCTATATTCCAGTGTTCTGATAGCATCTCATGTTTCCTCCAACTAACTCTCTATCGACACCATCTGATCCCTAATGAAAGAATTAACTCATTAATATTTTAACCTATTTCAGTATAACACTATATATCATGTTCCATAAATATAATTCCTTCATAATGGGGTATTTAGGTGACTATAATAATATTTTATATAATTTGAATAGATGTTTTCTGAGAATGGAAAGCATGTTTGGATAATAGCCAAAAACAATTCAACCTTTTCTAGTGATCTAAGAAAGAAACAGCATCAATAAGTGATGTGCACTAAATCCTCCTCGTATCTCTTGGTGACTGAATAATTAGAATTGGTAACTACTGTCAAAACCAGAGGCTGGAGCATAGTGAGGGCTACTCAGTCAAGGGAAAGAGCTGGAAGACCAGAATCAGGCTATGTGCCAACACCACATTTTGAATGTTTATCAGATGATCACAGTGGACTATCATGGAATGGACTCTAGTATGTGGAGGAGTCAGAGAATGAGATGAGAAACAAGTTCATAGGCTTGTTCAAAGGCTACCACCAGCCTTATTTTGAAGACAGTGATGTCTATACCTGAAACTTGATATATTTCCCTTCTCCCACATACTTCACCAACTAACAAAAACAACCACCACCACAAGATCCCTGGTCAGCTGTCCCAGCAGTTCATTCCTGGAAAAGACAGGGGCAGTGCTTGGCACACCTGGGCCAGGCCTTCTTCACTTCTATTCATGTTGTGATTTCTGTTTCTAACCACTTTCCATTGTAAATAAATATATCTCTCCAGCTTTTTCACCCAATCAAAATTTCCAGAGAGCATATAAATGCCTGTAAAGGAAACCAGATAAAATAAAGACTGTATCCACTTTCATTCTTTTTTTGCTTTGTACAGTGCCCAGTACCCAATTAGTACAAATAGTAGATTAATTAACTAATTAATTAGTGAGTGAATAAATGTCATTTCATTCATTGGTCCTAACTGAAGTTATTACTGGTTTTAGTTTCCTTTACATAGAAACTAAATTTTGCTTTTCATGTTTTTCTCTTTCAGCTTTGTCCAAAAGCAATAAACCAATCCACACTATTATTCTAAACCCTCATGTACATCTGGTAGGGGATGATGCCGCCTGCATAGCATATATTAGGCTCACACAGTACATGGATGGCAGTGGAATGCCAAAGACAATGCAGTCAGAAGAGACTCGTGTGTGGCACCGCCGGGATGGAAAGTGGCAGAATGTTCATTTTCATCGCTCGGGGTCACCAACAGTACCCATCAAGTAAATATTTCCAGGCTGTCAGCTTCTTTGTTAATACACCCATGGTCAGCTCCTTCTACTTATTCCATTGTTAATAGCATGGTATATGTTATTTAACGCTAGTAGTTGGTTACACTGATGAAAATAAATGCCTTCACGGGAAAGGTTTATGATTCTCTGGAAAGATCAATCAGATCAGCCATTTGTGGGTTGAAACTTGCTATAGAGCAGTATATGATAGGTTTAGACAGGACGAGAGACTACGTGATCAAAATCTCACAGGGTTAAATCTAGAGGACTTGTATAATAAGGCAAAATATTTGTGACTTCATCTTCTCAATTGACAGAAGAAGGGGATATCAGAGGAAAACATAGGGAGGAGTTTCTAAAATGGCCAATATATTATCAGGAGTTTCATTTCATAGATGATCCCCTAAAGCTCAGTTAGAGAGACAGCATTTAAAAGGCCATTGTCAGGTAGTGCAATGTCATTCTCACCTCACCACTCTACCTCAGATATCATTTGCTTTTCCAGTCAGCGATTAGGCACATATTTATTGTGAATCACCTAGGTGCTTAATCTGTGCCAGATTCAACACAAAGTACAAGATATTGCTTTCAAGAAACATGTATTCTCATTTAGCCAATCATTGATTCTAAAGAAAAAAATGATATAATAAAGTTTATCATCAACTTCAGAATACAGTAGAGTTAATGAACAGTGTAGTAAACTGTTTATAACAGTTTGGAAGTACACTTTGTATATAAGATAGAATTTTGGACAAAATCTTAAATGATGAGTAGAATTTAGAGACATAGACTGAAAAAGCAAAGGAGGATGGATAGTCCAAGCTAAATGAGCATCATGAAGAAAAGTACAATATCAGGATTTAGTTTAATATGATAGAACATTATTGGTAAGGAAGGCCGGTTACAACTAAAGAGGAATAATTGAAAATAGGCTTATTGGTAAAGTGGAGTGAGATGAAAACAAGAAGAGTTTAAACTCAGTGTAGAAGTTGGGTCCACTGTTGATCTCTTTCCAAATTCTCTCACCAGGATCACCTGTTAATATTTGAGATTTGGAATGGGGGTTCATACAAACAGCCATTCAACTCACTCCAGAGAATCCATCATGATTTCTTAGTTTGGTAGCATACCACAGTGGTTTTCAGAGGCCTTCTGTATAGCCTTAATAATTATATATCACTGTTAGATTTGTAAAAAGTGGGTCAACAGGGACAAAAATCAAACCAAACCAAACAATAGGCTGAAATTTATTCCCAAAACCATAGCTATGTAATTAAGAGAAAAACACAAGAGGAATATGAAGATAATGAAGACACCCGTTTTTGTGTGTTTTTCACCCCAAAGAGGTACAGCACAAATCGCCAGTTAATATAGAAGGGGTTACATTCATACAGTACCAGGGGTTTAGGTTTTTTTGCAGTTCCCTGAAGTGTTTATGGGATGAAGCCTATTCAAGAAAACTTCATTTTATGCCAGGTGGCTTAAATGGGGCTTCTCTTAATAGGCCACCCTGTATTCCAAATGGGAAAGAAAACTTCTCAGGAGGCACCTCTTTGTGGCAAAACATCTAAGGCCTGAAAACCATTCACATATGGGTCTTGTAAGTAACATCCTGCTCCGTGATACTTTGTGACTGGAGCTGAATGAAAAGCTGCATGGCTGTTTTCCTTCCTTTTGAGGATATTTTTTATTGCATAATATTCAATGAAAAACGCACAAGGTCTTTGAAAATTCATAGCAATTTTGCATGAGCTTTTGAATCTAACATTCAGCCCTATTTGGTAGCATAATCCTTATTTTAAAGGTAATAAACACTGAAAAGAATTTTTTCCAACATGTGGATTGTGTCATGTTAGAATCCTGAAGTTTTCACATCAAAAGTAAATTATGTCTGGGTCAGTTCAGATAACTCTCAATTATCCGGACTTAATTTATATTAAGCTTTAGAATCCTTTGGTGTCTTAACCATTCTTTCAAGAGGTTGCAGTTCTGTAAGCAGCTGGCTATGGCGAATGTGTAAATCAATTTGCTGTGCCTGACTGAGTATAATGGTACTTGACCATGAGGACAGGCCACAGGAGGAAGTCAAGCTGAAATTTAAAACTCACAAAATGGGTAATTCCAGAGGATAATTGAAAGTTGACTGTAATTAACTTCATGCTTTTGTTGTTGTTTTTAATTAATTGTTTCTTAGACTTGGGTTACAAGCATTCAGATATGTATGGTGCTGTTGTGAATATTTGCCTCATTCAGAGAACTAAACCTTATCAGAGCTTTTAACAAATAGTGCTCCCAGCTGTTGCTTTCAGCAAAGGAGATCTCCAATTAAAGAGAGTAATCATGTTCTCTCTACTTTCGAGACTATATTCCTTGTTAAATTGACTTCTAGGTTTCATTTCCCAAGGAATCTAACAATAATAACAGAAGCTAAGGATGAACTTGAATTTTAAGTCTATTTCAACAAAAGGATTATATTCATTTACTAATTTGTCCAGTAAACAGGAATGCTTAAGATGTATACTTAGATTTAATAATGTGACTGAAGACTGTGTCTCTGTCTCTTTATTTTTAGCTTAGCTTTGTGTGAAAAAATAATTAATACTGATCTTCTAATTTAATACTCTCTTTGTGTAACATTGTATGTTTCTTCTTGTAATGATCACAAGCAAACATCTCTTATACATAGTGTTTTCAATCTATTTGTTAGCCAAGTTATAAAACTGTAGCCTAGTCAAATCTATGGCAAAGCAATTTGATGATATTTTGTAAAACAATATAATTTATTTCTTCCTCCCCCTTTCTCCTTTCAGCTAAATTTCAACAGTGCCACTTCTGCATTCTCTGTTCTCAAGGCACCTGGATGGTGACCCTGGGCCGTCCTCTCCTCCTCTTCATGCATGTTTCTGAGTGCATGAAGTTGTGAAGGTCCTACATGTAATGCATATGTGATGCATCATCTTATCATATATTCCTTCCTATACATTGTTTACACTTCAACTACGGGGATGTTCCACACAAACTTAAATTACTGTTGGCAAAACAATAGGGGGAGATTAGACAAAAAAAAAAATCCACAATATTCCAAGTACAACTCTTCATCAAGTTTCTCTGTTAATGCCAAGATTTAACAGACTTAAGAACTATTGTTCTCTGAATGACAGTTGTAAGAGAAATGTAAATTTTTTAGAACTCTTTGCTGTTAATCTGTTTTGGTTTGTTTGGTTTTTTTTTTTTTTTTTAAGGTAAAAAAAAAATACACCTTCAGTTTCCTGGTGTGATCCTGGTTAAAATGGATGATTTTTCATTGAAAGTTTTGCTGATTAACAATTAAAGTGGGATGATATGTGGGCAAAATCACTTATGAAAGTAGAAGCAAGAATCAGTTGGTTTGCTACCACATAAAGCCATGCTGTTTTTGGTCAAACTGTGTAAACTGGAAAAATTCACATCATTTCTGAGTTTAATCACTTTAGGATATATTCACATTGTTTTGGTGAATTTGCTGAATTGAATTGTTTTTCTTTCTCAAATCTGTGATCTCTTTTCTTTATCCTGTTTCTTTGTTCCTTTCGTTTGCTTTCTTATTTTTCTTTTGTTCCATTCTTTTCTTACTTTTTTCCCTTTTCCTTTTTTGGGGAGGCTGGCTAGTAGTGTGTGAGAAAAGAATAGAAGTGAAATTTGCATAATGAATGTAAAAGGGAAATAAAAGTCTTTTGAAGGTAGCTATACTAGCACTTTTGATCATCTTCAGGGCCCACAAAAATGTTGTCAAGATTTTAAAGGTTTATAATTCTGCTTAAGCTCTAGTTTGGACTTAGGTATCCTAACTATGTTGGAGGTATTTGCATTGTTTAAAGTTAGGATAAAAGCAAGTTCCTCCTGTGACTGCAACGTCTTACTGATTGGGACAGTTGCCAGGAGGATACCAACTTGATAGCAGAGGGGGTTTTATGCAAACGCACTCACCTCCGCCTTGGGGAATGAAAGGGTCACTTCTGCATCATCACTAGCTAGTTTTCTAGTGTTAGAGAGGCTTACAAATGTTTGCCATTCTCATAAGTGTTTTGAACTTGATCTTTGTGACTTGTGCTTTTTTAGCTTCTCTCTTGAATCAGAGTATCATTGTCTTCCTCCAAGGAGTTAGAATTTCCCAGTTTAAAACAAAAAGGGAAATGTCCTAGGTTTTCTTTGTGCTTCTCATTTTTCCTTTGTTGATTCAATTCCTGTGATTTTTGTTCTCTTCCCTGAAGTGCTTTACAGTGCATGGAATCTCCATCATTGTTATTTTAACGATAGTAATTCACAGTCCTCAGAAGCCTATTTTTAAAGCAGAAGCAAAAAAGAAAAACAAAATAACAAAAACAACCCTTCCTCTTTTCTCTCATCTCACCTCTCTGTGTTGATTACTAATCATCTTAGATATTATTGCTAGTGGATGTATGGTAGATGGGTTGAAGCTTTTCTGATAATTATTACACAATTTAAAACAACATATATATTTAAAATAAATATATACAGTAAATATATTGAGCCATGTTAACCTGCCAATGAGATCTGTGAAAAAATAATGGCCTCATTTTTCTCTTTTTAATTTCTTTTACCCTTTTGTGAAGCAGCTATACGTGGCATACATGTATTTAAAGAAAAAAAAATAGATGTAGAGTGTTTTTTTTACACTTTTAACTTAGCATGTGGTGTTGAAGTATTACTGTAGATCAAGTTTGTCTTCCGCACTAAGATGTGAGGAAATTGTGATTTGTTCTCTCCACCACAAATGAATTACACATTTATTATCTTCTATCATTTTGAAACACTGCAGTTTACCATGGGACACTGTATATATTTCTTGCCATAATGGTAAAGGACTGATTGATATATTTAAGAGTTAATAAATTTGTGATTTCTGCTGACAGTGCGTCCATCTTTATTTCTTCAGAAGAGGTACTGTATGTATGCCTGCATAGTGCTGGCCAGTGTCAAGGGCAGTGTGTCCTACTCTGGTCTCATTTAGTACATAACAATTTGCACTTGGTGAGAATGGCAAGTTAATTGTTCTCTGTGAGCAAAACAATGGTCTCTTCTGGGAAAATGTTGCTGAGAACAATATAGTTAACAACTAAGACTCCTAAAAGCTTCTCTAAACTGTACCCTCCAATCCAGCCTTCACATGGCTGCTTTTTTTTTTTTTTTTTAATACGAACCTGTCCTTGTAACACTTTGATGTTATCATTTCTGGGATACAGGCAAGCACCCCAGCTCCTGCTACTCCCCAGCTTGAACTTGAGCATACATGGATGCTCAGCTTCTTTTGATTTGCTAAAAACATCACACTTGCTCACATGCCTGTTTATGCTGTTCATGTTGTTTATGTTTCTTACCTAGAATAAATAGTCTCTTCCCCTACTTCTTTTCCCGACTTCTTACTTTTTCCTAAGATTCAGTGTACAGCATCATGCTCCACAGCAAACCTTCCTAGGCCCTATTCTGGGCTTGCCTTCCCTCTCAAAACCTACATAATAGATTGTATTTACCTCTCCTGTCAACCACATTGTTTTGAAAATATATTTCTATTTGTGTCTCCTCTACTGCAGTATAATGTCTCCATGGGCAAGAACTGTGTATTCATCATTGCATTCCTAAACCCAAACCAAGGCCAGGAATGGAGATATCATTGATAAATAGTTGTTGAATTGAGGCCAAGCCCTTTTGATAACAGAAGCCTCAAGGGGTACCCAGATAGTCCTTGTTTTAATGATGGGTTCTCTCACCACTGTCTTGATGCTCTGAGCAAGTTACCTCTTCCCTCTGACCCTCAGTTTCCATATTTGTAAAATGAGAATAAACATACCAACTTAATAAAGATATTGTGAGGATTAATGGGTACAGAGTGACTAGAATGATATTTGATAGAAATTAAATGGTAGCAGTATAACTATTCTGATCACTGACATTAATATTCCTATTGTTATTATTCTTTGCTCACGAGGGTATACAACTCTTGTTTTGCTGTTGGGCTGCCCTCTTTATGTAGGTTTACTGTTAATGCTGAGGATATACTCGGACTCAAATGTCTCAGCAGAAGGCTGAGAGACACCAAATGAAGTGGTCATCTAGCTGAATGTAGGAAAAATGAAATGTAGTAGCAAATCAGTATATTCTAAGGAAATTTTCAAGGAATATTAATCTTCACCCAAATTTTGAATTTTTATGTAAAAAATTATAATTTAAGGGTAAACATAGATGACACAGCTTTCGAGTGATTTCATTGAATAAAATTCTACTGACTTCTATGAACCTTTCATGGCTCTGTGGTCTTTTTATCAGATTTTTTAAAGGTGAGAATGTACAAAAAGATTACAATGAAGATCAGCGTACTAGACCATGTGTCCATGAACTGAACAACAGCTGTCATAAACCACCCTAACCTGAGAAAGCAGCAGGAAGCATTTACAGCATTCCTGCTTTTCTCTCAGACAAAACCAATTCTCAGAAGAGAGCTAGAATGTTCTCCTGCAGACTGGAGTAGGAAAAGTTGATAACAGATTAAGCAGTAATTGTACTCCAGAAGGATTTGCATTTAGGCTTTTGCTGCTTTACAACAGAAAAAAAAAATTCTTGTTTGTCCGTAAAAAGTGTTTTTATGTTTTTTTAAATGTCACCAACATTTAAAAATTGGATATGTCATGTAAAAGTCAAGATTTCTGGCTTAATTAATTTGAAAAAGTGTAAGGTCTGCCCCACTGGTTCTGTGTTCACTACAGCAGCAGTCAGAGAAGCTGCTGCCTGTTTCAGAAGGGAGCAGGCACTCCCCTATCCCCACCAGGCACACACATACTTCACATCTGCCCCATGAGTTTGCTGCTGGCTCCTGTGGACACTGAAGACTTTGATCTCTTTCTTTTTTTCTTTTCTTTTTTTTTTTTTTTTTTTTTTGACAGTCTCACTCTGTCACCAGGCTGGAGTGCAGTGGCACGAACTTGGCTCAGTGCAGCCTCATCCCGGGTTCAAGCCTCATGCCTCAGCCTCCTGAGTAGCTGGGATTACAGGTGCATGCCACCACACCCAGCTAATTTTTGTATTTTTATTAGAGACATGGCCAGGCTGGTCTCGAACTCCTGAGCTCAAGTGATCCACCTGCTTGACCTCCCAAGTGCTGGGATTACAGGCGTGAGCCATTGCGCCCAGCCAGCTTTGACCCCTTTCTTAAAGCCAAAGGGCACCTCTGTTGGCACCTCAGGCCCCAGTGAACAGGTATGGGCATTGGTTTGTAGAGGGATTGTTCTCAGCATCCCTAAAACCATGCTACTTAGGCAGCTGTCTTCTGCTGGGCCCCTGCTACTAAAATGCTTGTCATTATTTTTACTTTGTTTTAAGAAGAAAATCAAGGTCTACAAAAAAAAAAAAAAAGCACAAAGTGTTTCTATGGTACTATTTAATTTCTTAAAGGAAGATCTGCAGCTATTTTACAGTAAAATGAGTTTATTTTGTCCTAGTTTCAAAGTCTTCAATGGCCAAGAACTGTTGGGTAATTTTTATTGCTGAGTCTCTAGGCAGGACCAGGACAAATTGTGAAATACTTATACAAATTATAGTAACTTTCTATCTATAACCAGATGTTTAGAAACTGCTTTGGGATATAATGGTTTGCACTATGGCCTAACTCAATTGCTAGCACATAATGTAGTCTGGGCTTAATCTAAGTTAGCTCTTTACAAGGCTAGTAGAACCTAACTCACTTGCTCCTTGGACTTTCTCACACTCTTGGAAACTCACAACCATGGATACATCCTCTTATCTGCTTGGGCCATGCTCATAATCCTAAGGCTGAATGTAGCTGGAAAAACGTGCACCTATGCTGACAGGTCTTGTTATATATTCATGGCCATTGACCTGCCTCAGGTAAGCCCCAGAGGCTGCCCAAAAATCATATGTCCCTAATCCATTCTCTCTTCCAGTCTTCTGTCAACTATTTCAGACTTCATTTACTTTTCCCACCTCCAATATTTCTTCCCCTATTCTCACTCAGGTGAGGACCTTGCTGCTTATTTCACTGCAAGAAATGAAGTAATCTCTGCATCTCTGTGTATGCACCCTGCTATCTCTTTTATTACTGTTTGTAAATAGGTCATGCACCTAACAAAGGCCACCACCTCTGCTCACAAGTATTGCTCTAGCAACTCTCTTCACCTTGCCTTGTCATTATAAATAATTTCCTCCATACTAGTTGTATCCACCAGTGCCCCATTTCTTTATAGCCAGATTCCTTGAGAGCCTTGCCTAAACTGCTGTCTGAAATTTCTCTCCTCCCATTCTCTCTTAAACCCACTCCAGTTACCTTTACCACTCCACAGAACAGTTCTCTAAGTCACCAATGACTACCATGTTGTTAAATCAAGGATCCATTTTCTGTCCTCATTTTTACTTCATCTCTCAGCAGCATTTGACAGAGTTGTTCATTGTCTCAATCTTTAAACATTCTTCTTTTGTCATTCAAACAATACATTTGCCTGATTTTCCTCCCAGCTTTATAGATGCTCCTTCCCAGTCTCTGACTGGTCCTTTTTCATCAACCTGACTTTTACATTTGGAAGACTTTTTGTTTTCATTATTTTTTTTTCTGTCTGTTTTTGAGACAAGGTCTTGCTGTGTTGCTTAGGCTAGCCTTGAACTGGGCTCCAGTGACCTTTCTACCTCAGCTTCCTGAGTAGCTGGGACTATAGCACATGCCACCATGCCCAGCTTGACTTTTAAATTTGGAACTCATCTTCATTCTCTCCCAGGGTAATTGCATCTAATCTCAATGGCTTCAAATTATATTAATGATTCTTAAACATATCTCTCCAGCTTAGATCACTCCCCTAAACTCCAAACATATATATTCAGCTGCCTATTGGAAATCTACATTATACATCTACTAGGCATGCCAAATTAACATGTCATAAACTGAACACCTGATAGTCTGTACCAAAACCCTTTCTTATAACTCTTTCCATATCTCAAGGATGGATAACTCAATTCTTCCACTGATCAGACCAGAAATCTTGGTATCATTCTTAATTCCTCTCTTTCTATTTGAAATTCCTTCAAAACATAATCAGAATGTGACCACTTCTCACAATACTGTCTGCTACCTCTCTTGAATCAAATCATCATCCTGTTATCTATATTACTGAAATATCCTCCTAACAGTTTCTTGGCTTCTGCTCTTTGTCTATTCTCAATGCAGCAGCCAGAATAAACTTGTTAAAATATGTCAAAGCATGTCACTTCTCTGCTAAAAATCATCTGATAGTTTCTGCTTTCACTCAAAGAGACAAAGTGAGTTCTGCCTGATGCTCTTCTCCCCATGACTTTCTCCCCTTCCTCTTCTGTGAATGTGCCAGCGATGCTCCCGTCTCGTGACCTTTACACTTGCTGTTTACTGTGCTAGAAATACTCTTCCTCAGAAAGGCAAGAGGCAAGAGGCTGGCTCTTTCACTTTCTTATTTCGTTACAAAATAAAGTCACTTTCTTAGTCAAGCCTTCACTGATAATCCTAAGATTTCAAACTCCCTCCCCCACCGGCACTTTATATCTTTCTTCCCTGATTTTCTTCTGCTTGGCACTTACTATTTAACATACTGCTTTCCTCATTTTATTCATGTTATTTATCAGTTGTCTCCTCTCCTAAATTACACACACAGCGAGAGCAGGGATTTTTATCACTTTTGTTCACTGATGTATTCCCAACTCCTAGAAGTATCTGGAACATAGTAGGTGCTTAATAAATATTTGTGGCTGAATAAATAAATGAATTGCTCTCTAGCTTTACAGTTGAAAAACCTGAGGCTCCCAGCACATATATGACTTGCCTCAGAGTAATTCCAAGAGCTGTATATTGCTTACATCGTAATCAACTGAAAAAGAAAAGAACAACTCTACTGTAGCTAAATAACTTTTAGCCATCATTGCACACATTTAGAATTTCTTAAGCCATAAGGAACAGAAACTAGATTCCAAACACCTTAAATAATAAGGAAAATACATTACTTCAACAAGAGAGAGATGAGTCAGCTCTGGCTGTTTATTTCAGTAACTTCAACAACATAAAAAAAGGACCCAGGTTCTTTCCATTTTTTAGCTCTGCCCTTGCAAGAGAGGAAACTCTATACTCCAGGTTAAGCGACCTTGAGTTCCCAAAATGCATGACTTGGTTCCTCATGTCACATCCAGACAGGACAACACCCACTGGAAGAGGAACGCTTGCTCAAGTCTTCTCCACACCTCCCCAACCCATCCTCAGCAAGGAAACATTTCCTAGCAGCCCAATTGGCCCAGAACTGGATCACAGGCCACACACTATTGGGCTTAGACTGATAAGAACCTAACCCTCAGCTAAGTATGAGCTACTGTTTTTTAGACCATGGGTGTTCAGGGGAGGGTGGACACAGAGAGAGACTGGATTGCGTTGCTTTTTTCAAGAAAGAGTTTGGGAACTCATTGGAATCAAGAAAAGTCAGAATAAATTATGTTTGTATTGTCCCCTTTAAGGTTGTTATTCTATGGATATAATGAGAGTTGTGAAAAAATAAAATATGAAGAAAGAAATTGTTATTTTCTTCAAACTCTAAACTTCATCCGCTGTTGCATTCACTCTTGCTGTAGCTTCCTGATGTGCCCAGCCAGTGCTGGATAGTTTTTCATCACATAATGATTTGGGACTAGGAAACTAAACGTCTCACTCAGTTTAAAGTTCTTGTAGGAATTCCAGTTGGGAGAAGGGTACGTTAAGCCAGAAGTGCTCTGTATCACCTTTAGATGATATTATCTTCTCCCTGCCCTAACTTCAATGAAAATTTTTTTAAAAACAATGAAAAGACTGCTTAGCACCTGAAACCGCATTTAGTGATCAATTTTCTTCAGTTCTGCTTTTCTGTTTTATTACTTTAAATAAGCAAAATAGGAAAGTGAGCGCGTGGGGCGACTAGCAACCAAGTAAACATCAATGATCTTATTCACAATCCACCCACTTGATTCTGCCTGGCAAAGTGAACAAAAGAACAAGCAGCTAGTTCACCCACAGCACCTGTTCCTCCAGGGTCTGAAGAAACAATTGCTGTTGTGTGGGAAGAAGGATTTAGCTAAGTAATTTGTGATTAGGTGGTGTTACGTGTACAATGCTTCTTTTTGTCAATATCATTGCTCATCATAGGTGACTCAGAGACATTCTACTGAAGATGGAGTTGGTTAGTCACCACAGCCTTATAAAAGCATTAATTTTCAGAATTTCCCTTCCTCTCCTATTTGCTCTTTTAATCTTGTCATGAGTACCCTTTTGCCCCCAAGCAAAAGAAGTAGATGCTTTGTTGTTCACACCATGAGAAAAGAACTCCCTCTAAGGCATAGGGCTAAGAGGACTAATTTAAAAAATGACAATCAAGTTTACATTCCTGCATTTCCCTCTTTCAGTTCATAAGAAAATTACTCGGCCCATTTTACTAAAAGATGGAAAACTCAATGTATACACACGTGTATATGTAGGTACATATGAGGAGATATGGAAAAAGAGACACTTTAGAATGGCGAAGAGTCATTTGGCTAGCAAGTAGAGATGAAAAACAAAATTAAACAAAACTTCCTTGCAGGCAGAAGATAAGAACTAAAGGAAACATTGATTAAGGAGCCACTATGTTACAGGCACTGTGATAAAGACAATGTTCCCAGAAGGAGAGAGCCCCTTTCCCGGAAGATTTCACTTTGGGATCATATCTAGTTTCTAACTTGGCTCCACTGCCTTCTGAGAGATTCATGCTTTTTAGCCAACAAAACTCCTTCTTGAAACTTATCCAAGTAAACATGCTCTACTTTTGGAACAAGTCACACTTAGCCATGGGAGATTTCACCATCTGATTTATTACTCATTCCCCAAGAGCCATTCTCAGGGTTGAGACATCGAGGCTGGAGAAGCATCTTGGGCCTCGCTCAATGTGATCCGTTCGCTGATGCTATAATGCCACTTGGCAGGAAAGTGTGAAAAGGAAGTGAGGGAAAAAGGGGGTGAGAGTTTCGAAGCTCCAGGTCTCAGCAACATGAAACTTCAAGTATATTTCTCTTTTGGGTTAATCCCATCATTGTGTTTCTCATCCACAAAAAAACTTTGCTGGCTGTCCCATGATCATGAATGTCCTCTCTCATTTTTAGTGTATTTGGTTTCTTTTCTACTTTCCCTTCAAGCTTACCAGAAAAACTATGGAGCACTATATACTTTTAATGATGATTTTATAAGAGAGATTTTGAAATGCTGAGTATCTTTTGTTCATATCATTCTTCATCTGCATACAGAAAAGGGGGTATCCTGTTCTCCCAATTACATAAACACAAAAAATACAAGATCATACTATACATTCCTTTTTGTAACTTGCTTTTTCACTTACCAACATATAATAAACAATAAATTTTATTTCAGAAAATATGCTTCTGTTATGGCTAGTGGCTTCACTGGAATCTGTTTATCTAAATGATACACAATTTATTTAATCACCTATTGTTGAACATGTACATTTTCTTATTTTATGCTACCAACAATAAGCCAATTAAGTAATTCTTGTAGCCAATTTTTTGCACAGACACTTATTTCCTTAGGGAAATTGCCAGAGGCAAAAATACTGAGTCATCCATTCCATTTTAACTTACAAAAACAGTTATGATTTATAGTGCAGAAATTACCAGAAAGATAAAATTACATACCTAAGCTAACTTAGTGGCGAAATTTTATCACAAATCCAGGTTTCTTCATTTCATGTCCAGGGTCCTTTGTACTGTCCAGTCATCTGCAGCTTTTTTAAGCCAGCATGCTTGGCTCTGGCAACAAGTGCAAGGCACCACACAGGAGAGAGATTCCAGAACAATATTGCTATTCATAGCTTTAGTTCTGAGATGCTGTCCTCAACTTGTTCTTTATACCTGATTACATTCTTCCCAGATCTTCCTATACATGGGCCTTGCTATTGAGGCTGTTGTTTTAGTTTTGTTGTTGTTTCTTCATTTTGACCTTTAAGAGCGACACACTCATTTCTTACGTATCTTTTAGGTTTGAAAGTCCTGATAGAGCTACTCAGCCTAAATTATCGGTTTCAGAACTACTGTATAGATCAGAGAGAATGACACAAGAATGCAAAAGGATCCATTTTTCTTTATAACCCCACCTTAGCTGTTATTTTTGTTATATGGGTACTAGCAGAAGAAAAAGAGAAAGAAAGAAAGAAGAAAGAAAGAAAGAAAGAAAGAAAAGAAAGAAAGAAAGAAAGAAAGAAAGAAAGAAAGAAAGAAAGAGAAAGAAAGAGAAAGAAAGGAAGGAGAGAGAGAGAGAAAGAAAAGAAGGAAGGAAGAAGGAAGGAAGAAAGAAAGAAAGAAAGAAAGAAAGAAAAGAAAGAGAAAGAAAAAAGGAAAGAAGGAAAGCGAAAGAGAAAGGAAGAAAGAAGAGAAAGAAAGAGAGAGAAAGAAAGAAAGAAAAGGAAATGCCTCATTTTCAGAAGCCCAGATAAATGGATAGCTTATAGATGCTATCCAGTCTAACAGCTAATTTTGTAAGTGAGAAATCCCAAGAAATGGAATAGCCATTGTCCATTTAAAAACTGGAATGGAAACAGGATGAATTTATGAAACCTAGAGCAGTGTTTCTCAATTTCGTCCCAGGACCACTTTACACTCCTAAATGTAATTCATAACCTCATAAAGCTTCTCTCTGTGTAGGTTATATTTATTGATATTTGCCATTTAAAAAAATGAAAACTAAAAAATTTTCAAACACAAAAATATTCAAGCACATTGTCCATTAGCTCTCAGAGGAATGATGTCACAACACTTTTTTTTTTTTTTAAGACAGGGTCTCACTCTGTGGCCCAGGCTGGAATGCAGTGGCTCAATCATGGCTTTCTGCAACCTTGACCTCCTTGAGCTCAACTGATCCTCTCACCTCAACCTCCTAAGTAGCTGGGACTACAGGCATGCACCACCACCACACCCAGCTAATTTTTATATCTTTTGTAGAGATGGGGTTTTGCCATATTGCCCAGGCTGGTCTTGAACTCCTGGATTCAAGCGATCCACCCACCTTGACCTCTCAAAGTGCTGGGATTACAGGTGTAAGCCACCGTGTCCAGCCTTGCCACACATTATAGAGCCTCTGGAAAACACTGTACACTCGTGAAGGAATAAGAATGAAACAGGAAGTTAAGGTTTTAGTATTATAATGAAAATAGTTTTAACCTCTTGCAATCCTTGAAAATGTCTCAGGGACCCCGGGATGTTCTTGAATCACACTTTAAGAATGTCTGTGGGCCAGGCACGGTGGCTTACCCATGTAATCCCAGCACTTTGAGAAGCCGAGATGGGTGGATCACTTGAGGTCAGGAGTTCAAGACCAGCCTGGCCAACAGGGTGAAACCCCATGTCTAAGAAAAAAAAAAAATAGCTGGGTGTGGTGGTGGGCACCCGTAATCCCAGCTACTCAGGAAGCTGAGGCAGAGAATCACTTGAACCCGGGAGGTGGAGGTTGCAGTGAGCTGAGACCACACCACTGCACTCCAGCCTGGCAACAGAGAAACTCCGTCTCAAAAAAAAAAAAAAGAAAAAAAAAAGAGCTTCTGTACTAGATAAAATAAGAAAGAGGTACAGAGTAACTAATCAGAAATGTAACCATGTACCTAAATTCTTAACAATCAGGGGACAGACCATTTGGAATCCATCCTCCTCCAATACATTTCTGATGATGGACTATAAACAGTGATTTGGGTGTTAAATAGATAATTAAATTTAGAATAAGAACAAAGGACAAGTAGATATTGATGAACAGAAAAAGATGAAAAATAGATTTGGACAGAAACAGAGAGGGAAAAACAGTCGCCAAACATAGCAATTGACAATATGACTATAGCATTTGGAGGACAGGGGAGAGGTGGGGAAGAAATCAAGCATCCCAAATTATTTAAATTGGCCAAGATGGAGTACGAGGGGCTGGATTTATTCTCCTCCCTGAAATAACTTCAAAAAAGACAAAATCTATAAAACAATGGTTTTCAGACATTGGCTATCAGGCACCACAGGACAGTGAATCCCTCAGAGATAGGAAGAATCAAGGTGAGCCCGGCAATTGCCCTAGCATACAGGCCAGAGGATTTCCAGCCTACAGCACAAGGCGGGTAAAATCCAGGCATTACTCAGCCAAGTACCCAAGTTGAAGAGATAGAGGTGGGAGAACAGGGAGGTCAAAGCGGCTACAATTCATAGGACAATGTGCCAGAGAGAAGAGAACTGCATGGAGAATGCTGTGGAGATTTGCAGAGGATTCTCCTTTAGCCTTCAGCTGAGTACTGATCAGTGAGGCTAGGGAAAAATACACCTGAGATAATTAACTGGCGAGATCCCTGGGGCTCACACAAGCCCAGGAATAGTTTGTGCTCTCACCAGCCAGAGAAAAAAATCCTTGTAATTCACTGGGCATGGGATGCAGTACTCAAAAATGTATTGTCCCTGTAGTGGGAGAATATTAGCCCTAGACTAAAGGCTTCTCCGATCCCACTTGATGATATTAAAAACAAGTCTCAAAAAAGATCAGACTGTTTGCAAGTGGCTTAATGGAGCCCCCAGAAAAAAAATTTAAGAATAATTTACAGGAGTATAAAGTGCCCAGCAACAAATAAGGTAAAATTTACTATGGCGGGCATCCAATAAAAAAAATCATCAGGTGTGAATCATGACAGGAGAAAAACCAATAAAAGAAACAGATCGGGAGAGGACACAAATGACAGAATTAGCAGGCAAAGACATCAAAACAGGTATTACAATTATATTTCATATATTGAAGAAGGTAGAGAAAAAATTGAGCATATCAAATATAAATATTCAAGAATATATGTGTGTGTGTGTCTAAAGAAATACTTTTTATAATTTTTGGATTCAATTTTCTAAGATTTTTTTGAGAATTTTTACATCTATGGTCTTGAGAAATATTGGTGTATAGTTTTCCTTTCTTAAAGTGTCTTTATCTGGTTTTGGTGTTAAGGTAATGCTGGCCTCACAGAATGTGTGCACCCTGCTTCTATTTTCTGGGAGAAATTGTGGAGAATTTGTATTATTTCTTTTTTAAATGTTTGGTAGAATTCTTCAGGGAAACCATGGTCCTGGTGCTTTCTTTTTTTTTTTTTTTTTTTTGAGGTAATTAATTATTGATTCAATTTATGTAATAGATATAGGCCTATTCAGGTTCTCTACTTCTCCTTGTGTGAGTTTTGGTGTTTGTGTCTTTCAAGTAATTGGTCCATTTTCTCTAAGTTATCAAAGTTGCCTGCATAGAGCTGTTCATAGTTTTCCTTTATTATACTTTCAATATCCATATGATCAGTAGTGAGGATCTCTCTTACATTTATGATATGTGTAATTTGTCTTTTTTTTCTTGGTGACAGTAACTTCAAATCTCTGAATTGATTTGTATTTGCTTCTATCTAATAAATCATTAGAAAGTTGTTTCTATCATCAAAAAGTTATTTTATTTTAAAAATAATCCTCCTTGGAGTATACATTGGAATGACTTTCTCCAGATGAAATTCCCAGTTCCTCAGACACTAGTTTGCTCCAGGGTAAAGTACATCCACCAACAATGGATTCTGAACTCATTTTTTTCTAAACTACAACAGGTTAAAATTGCGCTTGAGTGAGTACTGTTTGTTAGTAAAATGGCCAGGGCACATTTTTTGAGGCTGTGTCCCGTGAGGTCATTTGTTGGCAGTCTTACTTTCTGTCAGATAAAATTGTGGTGTAAGGAATGCTCCCATACCATGTATCAAGAAGTTTGCAACTGTCCATAAAAACAAACCAAAAGTTACCGGTCTACAAGTTTAGACAATTCAGTACTCCACACACATTGCCGTGACTCTATTCTCAGTGCCTTGGTCTTCTGCAATTCATCATAACAACATGCAAAGAAAATGTAATGTCAGCCGGGCACAGTGGCTCATGCCTGTAATCCCAGCACTTTGGGAGGCCGAGGCAGGTGGATCACCTGAGACCAGGAGTTCGAGACAAACCTGGCCCATATGGTGAAACCCAGTCTCTACTAAAAACACAAAAATTAGCCAGGCATGGTGATGTGCACCTGTAATTCCAGCTGCTTGAGAGGCTGAGGCAGGAGAATCGCTTGAACCCAGGTGGCAGAGGTTGCAGTGAGCCAAGATCACACCATGCACTCCAGCCTGGGCAACATAGTGAGACTGTTTCAAAAAAAAACAAAAAAAAAGGGAAAGAAAATGTAATGTCTTCCAATAGAAAACACTCTGTGCCACTGCCTAATTCCCTTCAGATTTCTCTAGATGCCAGTAAATAATGATTTTATTATGAGTGGGGGTGTTGTTTCCAGAAGTAGTGAAATCTATTTAAACTTAATTGTCCAAATAAAAATGAAATGAATAATTAGGAGATTTATACTCTCTTAAACTTCACAGAGGACAGGGCATGTAAAATATAAAATCACATCATTTTGAGGTTAATTTTAGGACAGTGCAACTAAATTAACACCAGTATTTTGATCTATTCCTAAAACACAGATATTAAAGTTTTGAGCAAATCTGAAATCAGAGAGGTTAAATGATACTTTTGATATCACTCATTCTGTAGTCCTAGGCAAATTTCCCAATTCTCTCTAACCTCAGTTGTATCTGGAATGGGAGTAATAAAAGTCGGTTGTTATAGAATAAGATAATGGATACAATGCATTTTAATTGAGTGCCTGGTACAAGGGCCTAATAAATATTAATGATGATGATAATGCTGCTGACAATGATAATGATCATGATAATGATGATTAGCGGAACATGTTCAGAGGAAAGCAGGAAGCACATTGCCTACCTTACTTTAATGGTGACTTTAAAAAAGCTTTATTGAAGTCTGCTTCCCATACTATAAAATTCACCCATTTAAAGTGCGCATTTCCATGGTTTGAGTATATTTACAGGGTTGTGCATCACTACTAACTTTAGAGTATTTTCATCATCCCCAGAAGAAACCCCTTATTTAATAGCAATCACTTCCCACTCCAATCCCACCCCAGTCCTAAGCAAGCAACCACCACTAATCTATTTTCTTTCTCTATAGACTTGCTATTTATATAAATAGAATCATACAATATGTGGTCTTCTGTAGCTGGCTTCTTTCATTTAGCATTATGCTTTCAAGGTTCACCCATGTGGTAGCGTCAATCAATATTTCATTTATTTTTATTGCCAAATATTTTTCCACTGTATGGATACATATTTTATGTATTCACTCATCCGTTAATGGACATTTGGGTTGTTCCCACTTTCTGGATATTATATGTAATGCTGCTTTAAACATTCATTTGCAAGTTTTTGTGTGGACATATGAGTGGACTATTTTTAAAAGGAAATTTTAAAAGCTCCTTTGATAAAGAAGAAGCACTGTCCAAATCTCCTTCAAACAAAGTCTTGCTCTCAGCTTGTGGTGAGTGTGATATTCAAAAACCTACAGCTGTCAGCTTCTTCAAAGTCAGCCTCAGCTACAGAGAATCAAGGCCATGCCCTTTCTAGGGCAGCCCGCATAGCATGACGGACCAGAGAAGTCTAAAGACCGGCTATTTCAAGTTGTTGTGGGACGCTCTGAAGGCCCATACTCCGTTGAGAGCTTCCTATTGGGTTAGCCAAGGTTTGTTGCCACTCCACTGCAGTTCAGCTTCTTCCTATATCAAGTTCTGTTTCATCCCCTTTTCTTCACATGTGTGGATCCTAATGAACATTTTGTGCCCCTAATTTATTCTTGCCTTCCTGGTAATCCAATTTGGAAGACTCCTGGATGAGGATGATATTGGGGAAGAATTAACCACTTGATAACGCTGATCATGAGTCCTTATCTGTAATCCTTTGATTCTGGGATTGCTTTAAAAACCATAAAACTGAGACATCCAGAATGGTGGCATTTTATGGCCCTTGGTGGAAAGTGATACAAGAGACTTCAGAGAAGCACGTTTTCACACATCTTAATCACAGTATGACGAATATGATCCTGGGTTGGTAAAAAAGAACCTGGAAAACTCAAAGGATAAATATGAGAATTGATTGCTACTCATTTACTACCCTATGGAACAATCTTTGACAACGTAGGAATTCAATACTACTTGACTATCCAAATCTTTGAATCCAGGTTTTAACCAATCCATACTATCCCAATGAGATATTTACCAAGCAAGAAAAATATAAAGATGATCTAAACTTGTCTCACATTCTTTGTCCTATGTTACTTGGGGCTTATACAGTTCAATTTTTGAATAAGTAAAATGAAGATTTTAAATAATTATTAATCTAGTATCTCATGAACGAGAAGGAATTTCTCGCCTTCATCTTTACACAGATGGAATACTAAATAAACTCAACATCCACAATTTAATCTGAACAATTGTTCTCTGAAGCCCTTATTTAAGGTAAAATTAGAGAGAGTGAGAGAGAGAGAGAGAAAGAGAGAGAGAGAGACACTGCTGAGCTGAGCTAGAGAGAGAGACCTGTCTGGATTTCCTAGGTAGGGTAGATGTCCCAGAAAAATCAGAAAAAGACTAGTAAGTAGTCCTTAGCATGGACCATGGGCAACAGCTGTTAGTAGATCTTATGCACCACAGATTTTTTTAAAAACAATCTTATAACTTCCACAAGTATTTTGCCATCAATCTTGCCGTGTTAGTGTGCCCTTTATTACTGACTACTGCCGTGCTCTGTTCTGTGGAAAATCAAGCATCCATCCAACCCAAGCAAAATCAGAGTGTTTTAGGAAATGTGAATTCAATTGATCAGCACATTTCAGACTAAACATGGCCACTGCCTCTTTATTTCCTGCACTTGTTTAGTTTACAATTCACATTTGGGTATTTTCTCTTCAATAACCCCATTTCGTTAGAGGTCTCTGGAGTCCCTGAATCTGTGTTGTTTACTTTATTGGATTTCTTCCAGGCTGTGTCTGAGAAATCATGACTGCTTTTGCTCAGAGCAACTGAGGACTCGCTTGCTGTAATTCATCTACAGTATGCCTTTGACCTCAGGACACCCCAAGCTGCTCTCCAGCTTCACTTGTAGCCGTGTATTTCAGCTTCAGTGTTTTCTTCTGTTTTGCTGTCTTATTACCAAATTGATCTACATTGTAATGTTTTAAATAACAAGATATGTTCACTCTGCTTTCTAAAGATACTCTTAGCTTTTTGTAGCTCTTATTAACAAGTTATGAGCCTTTCCACTGAAGAACCATGCAGGTGTCATCTTGCTCCATTTCAAAGATGCTCTCTTTGGAACCAGAATCTTGAGCAAGAGTCTTCATGTAAGAATATTGGCAGTCGCTGTATTAAAAATTGTGAAATTTTAGAGTGTCACCTTTACAAAAAAAAAAATGGTGCTTCATTAGTTATTTGTGCTGAAGTCTGCCTGTATGGTTAGGGGGGAAAGAGAGAAAAAAAATTCTAATTTGAATGCTGTATTTTCTGTGCAGTGATATGTGTGTGTGTGTGTGTGTGTGTGTGTGTGTGTGTGTGTGTGTAACCCTGGGAAAATTTGATCATGAATCCTTACTTTCACAGTTAAATTTGACTTGAACAGTTGCATTTTCTTTTTCTGGTCCATCTCAATCTCTTTTATGTTCTTTCTCTTAATAAAACATGGTTTCAAAAGCCACGTGGTTGTTTCCAGAATGTTTTCAACTGCCTAATTGGCTCGTCTCCATGCAAAACTGTTCACTAGGGTTTCTATTTCCTGTCTACTCAACTTCTGTTTCAGCAGCAGGAAGACATCCTCCCCTCTGCCTCCAATTATCTTCTGAAAAGGCCACATTCTACCAGGAACTCTTCATCATAACAACGTTGTTTGTTCTACAAGACTAAATGGAATACTGCTTTGGTTTTCTATGCACTGTATATACTTAAATTAATCTTTTCTTCTAACAACCAGATAGTTTTGGCTCTTTGAAGAACATGCATATTTAAGGGTTAATGTATTTTTCTATAGCTATTTTTTGTTTTGTTTTGTTGTTTTGCTAAAAAGCTCGCCTTCTCCACTTCCAAAGCAAAGTTAGGCTTTGGAATTGCTTGCTGGAATTCTCACTGCTTGGCTGCATCATTTTATTCATTTGGTTAAATGTTTTTTGTTAGCAGACGGAAGAGCTCCACCACATTAATGAGGCCAAAAGCAATGACTCATCCGCGTCTGGAAGTGCTGATTTTACCCTCATGGGATTGAGAGTAGAAACCTTTTTAATCAAGACGATCCGCCCTGCTGCCATGGTGATAGGAAGCAAGTTTTCACAGGTAGTTAGAATTGGATGACACTTCAGCATTTCTCAGGGGAGAAAGATACCACTACCAGCAACTCCTCTCTGATCCCAAATGCTTTCAGGAACGAATTTCTTGCCCTAATGATGGTTCTTAATTAGGAGTCACAGTATTAGGTCACTCATGTCTGAAAAACTGTTGTTTCACCCTTACACTTCTTAAACTTTGCTCTAATAAAGATTATAATGATGTTACCTACTGGACACTATCATTTGGAAAAAATGACTTAAAAAGTTGCTTTTTTTAAAAGAGCATCTTCAAGCCCAAATCTGAAAAAGGTTATTAATAGTGACAACTTTTTAAAAATTCATATTTTTCTTATATCAGAAGTAATTCGTATTAAGTATAGAGCATTTGGAAAATTCAAAAAAGCATAAATAGTAAGATAGAAATTATCAGTAGCCACAATAGTCACAAATTTTTATTAATGAAGACTTAATGGATATTTTTCCTTGTTTCTTCTATTTATATAGATGCTTTTCTGTTATTACAAAAAATAACTTGGTTACATAAATATGTCTTTGTATTGCTTTTTCAATTAATGTATAAAATGTCACTCTATGAATTCATATTATACATTTTATATTTTATGATATCCCCATGTATTAGCTAGGATACTGCTATCTGCTATTCTAAATATGCTTCCAACTCTCAGTGACTTAACCCAACAGAAGTTTGTTTCTTTCACATGTAGCAAACCAATGTGGGCCCGTCTGGTCTGCAGGCAACATTCCATGCATGGATTCAAGGATCTACCTTCTTCCATTTTTTTTTTTTTTTGCCTTCCAGATGGAGAAAGAGAAAATGGAAAATGCACACCTATTTTACAGATTCTAGGTCTGAAAGTGGCCCACATCATCTCCACTCAAATCACATTCATATTGTTGGGAACTATCACAAGGCTCCACCTGGTCACACAGGAAGCTGAAAAACGTAGTCTCTAGATGGGCAGCTGATTCTCAGCGATAACTCTTTTCAATGGAAGGGAAGCACATAGTTTTAGTGATCTTACATGGTCCACCATGTAAGTGGATCATGAAGTGTTTCTTACATGTCCACCCAACTGGGCAACCAATATCCATGTGCAAACATCTTTCTAAACACAATACAACTGCTTTCTTTCCGAGGAGCCGTGTAAGAGTACACTATGTAAGATGGTTCCTCCAATCACTACACCGTCAAAATCCTAGATTTCTAGGTCATGAGGCTGTCTCTCCACCAGGCTTGAATGTGGCTCCTCCCAAGTTGGCAACATTTGACTTAAAAGGCACCTCTGACCCCCTGTCATGGAGGGGCATGAATGGGATAGCTAGAAGTGTGAGAATTAATGCCTTATATGTCAATATTATTTAGATAAATATTGTGGACCACAATTTGTTGCTTGTTCCAGCAAAATTTTGACTAGGAAAGACAAGTCTGTAAATCAAGAAACAACTTCATAGTTTGCCTCAGGAAATTTCCACAGATCATTTTTTCCCCCAAGCACAATAGTCTGCTTACTTGGGTGAATGGCTCGCTTATAAAAACAGCTTACTTATAAAGGCTTTGGTTCAAGACCTTTCTTTCAATTGCATCAGCCATTCCTAAACTATTATGTCACACAGTACTTTGCCCTGTTTCAAACGGTTCTCCACCTTGACCTTGCCTTTAACCAATTGATCGCAGACTCTGAAACCCTGTAAATATCCCACTTCTGACTTCTCCCTTCTGAGACACTGCTAAGCCTCCATCAAGATGGCATTTTCTCTTACTGCAGTAAGTTCTAAAAATTTTTAGTTTTGCTTTATTAACTAGTTATCTGGTGACATTATGAAATGCAATGATGGAGGGGGTGAATGAGAGTCATACATAGTCATTGGTACTTGGCAAAGTTGAAATTATTCTTGATTAGATATTGAACCAGCTCTGTGGTAGGAATTCATGCAACAAGGCGCATGATCCCTACTCGCAAGGGAATGGAGAAATGTAGTCACTCTGTTTAACTGAGAAAAGTAAAGGTTTTTTGTGTTCAATTTTATTCAGTTTTATCTATTCATGTTTGAGTTCTAGAATCATGCAGATTTTCCAATTGTGAGAAATCCCAAATAACTGGATTCTTTCTATTCCCTTTCACTTTTGCTTGCACATGTGTCAATTCATGTCTAAGCTCATCTTTCTTCGAAAAACTTGCTAAATATGGCCAGTAACAAGCTAACACAAACATTCTAACTTAGAGCTACAAGTTTGGCAAGTACTCCTTTATTATTGTCAGCCAAGTTTTTTCAAGTTTATTGCCACTGCATAGCACGGCTCTCCATCTTTCCAACATCTTACATCAATTTTATCTACTCAACAATGACACATATTTTAGGATTCTGTTAAAATAATATCCCAGTTGCAATATCATTTTTTTATGAAATAAATCCCCAAAATCAATGACTTACAAAACCAGAAGTGTATATATCTTCCTTATCATACAGACCTATGTAGGCATTCCCGGTCAGCAGATGACCTTCCATGTGGAGATTTGGGGACCTTCTTTTAAATTGTGGCTCTGCACCTTTCTGCTGCTCTGCCACTCAGAACCTTGGAATCTTCTACACTTACCTAGTGTATGGTGAATGGGAGACTATAGAATGCACATCTGGGTTTTTTCTTTTTTAAGCTATTTGACTTTAAAAAGTGACACACAGCATTTCTGTTCACATTCCATTAGCACTAACAAGCCTCATGATCCCTACTTGCAAGGGAACAGAGAAATGTAGTCTCTTTCTAGGCAGCCACTTTATAGTAACATTATTGTACTGTGGAAGGAAAAAAAATGATTTATGGCAGTAAATTACTCATCTGTCACATTCCCTCTTTGACAGCAATTTCTTTTTGATCTGGACATCAGAACACTAATTTTCTCCGGTCACATCTCTAATAATTACCCAGTGAGTTTGCTGTTTTCACTGTTGTTCAGAAGTCTCCATCATTACCTGGATTACTGCAATAAATTCCTAGTTGAAATTCTATTGCTGCTGTAACAAATTACCAGAAACCTAGTGGCTTAAAACAACTTTTATTGATTTTCTTACAGTTCTGAGGGTCAGAAGTCTCACAGGGCTAGAATGAAGGTGTTGGAAGGGCTGCGTATCTTCTGGAGGCTCTCAGGAGAATCTGTTTTCCTGCCTTTTCCAGCTTCTAGAAGCCACCTGCACTCCTTGGTTTCTTCTATTTTCGAGACAGCTGTACGCCATCTTCAAATATACCTCATTTTCTCTCTGTTTCTGTAGTCGCATCGCCTTCTCTTAATTGTTCTGCCTCTTCTTTCCCCTTATAAAGACCTTTGTAGCTACACTAGGCCTGCACAGGTAATCCACCCATCCCAAGATCCTTAACTTAATCACTTTCGCTATGTATAGTAACTCATGCCCAGGTTCTGGGTATTAGGAGGTAAATATCCTTGAAGGGCCATTACTTTGCCTACCACAGAATCCACATATGCAATCTTTAACAACTCCAGTATAGAATCCACATTGCTGCACTGCTGCCAGGGTACTCTCTCTACAATACAAAACTAATCATATCATCCTTCTAATTAAAACCCTTCAATAGTTCTCTGTTGTAAATTCTAATATTCTTACCATATATGCCATTGGATTCCTTTTGCTGTCTGATATTTTAGTAGATTTACCTGCTGGCAGAAAACACGAGGCCACTAGTGTCTGTAGTATTGTCTCCTGACACCTTTCCTGCATGTCCACTTTTTGCACCAACAACATAGAACTACATGTAGTTTTCTGAACACACTATAACATTTCACTCTTTCATAGCTTTGCATATTTGGTTCCATCTATCTGAATCTCCTCTTCGGTCCAGCTGGCAAAGTTTGATTAATATTTCAAAATTTAACACATATATCTACTCATTTGCACTCTTGGATAATTGCCTAACCTGACTAATTCAGGCTTTGCCTAACCTGACTAAATTCAACTGTTGACATGTTCAGTACCAGCATCTAAGCAGCCTATCATGGCAGGAGAAAAATATTCCACTATGATGACTTGTCTTATTTTAAAATTCGTAACTAAAAATTCTAGTGGGCCTTCAAAAGTTCCTATCAATCTGCCTACATTTCCTTAGGCTGCTAATTCTTCTCTGTCTCCATCCCTAACCACATTTCTTATCTCTCCTATCTCTTCAAAAGCCCAATTTAATGTCTCCTTTTTCCTCATACTAAGCTGAAGACTTTACTTGCTGTTCCACGCTGTCCATCCAAAAATCTACTTTCCTGTCTGTAGGAAATTATAGTTTCCCACCTTCTACCTGTTAAATGGAAGGCCTTTCAGTGTTTCTTTCTAAGGTAGCTCTTCCTCTGGGGCACTGCTTCCCGTCTCCCCTCCCACTCCAGTGTCATCACCTTTTTTTTTTTTTTTTTTTGAGATGGATTCTGCCTCTGTCACCCAGACTGGGGAGCAGTGACATGATCTCAGCTTATTGCAACCTCCACCTCCCAGGTTGAAGCGGTTCTCCTGCCTCAGCCTCCCAAGTAGCTGGGATTACAGGTGCATGCCACCACACTGAGCTAATTTTTTTATTTTTAGTAGAGATGGGGTTTCACTGTGTTAGCTGGTCTCAAACTCCTGACCTCAAGTGATCTGCCCACCTCGGCCTCCCAAAGTGCTGGGATTACAGGGGTGAGCCACTGCACCCGGCTACTCTCTGCTGTTTTTAAGAATCATTTCCATCAGTTTTAAAACATAATGCATGTTATCCTATTTCAAAACAAGCAACAAACAAAAAACATACCATTCTTGGTACCAAATCCCTTCAGTTACTGTACCATTTCTCTGCTTTCTTTTATAGAAAACCTCTTCAAAATAAAATAAATAATTCAACAATTCAAAATGAATAAGAATGAGTCGGCCATTTTCCTGCCTCAGCCTCCTGAGTAGCTGGGTCTACAGGAGCCCCCTATCACGCCTGGCTAATTTTTTGTGCTTTTAGTAGAGATGGGGTTTCATCGAGTTAGCCAGGAGGGTCTTGACCTCCTGACCTCATGATCCACCCTCCTCGGCCTCCCAAAGTGCTGGGATTACAGGCATGAGTCACCGCGCCCGGCCAGGGCAAATCTCTTTAACTACTATAATTTTCTCAGGTATAATCTTGCAATGGTGGTTTCAAAAGCTGACTGGAAGAAAGCGGAAGGAATGCTTGCCTCATCTTGAAGACATCAGGTGCATTCCTGAGAAGCTACAGAGGGCCTCCAAAACTGTATATGCTTTCAGCCCTAAAAAACCAGATCCGACCAGGGTGGAGCCAAGATGGCCAAATAGGAATAGCTCCAGTCTACAGCTCCCAGCGTGAGCGACGCAGAAGACGGTGATTTCTGCATTTCCATCTGAGGTACTGGGTTCATCTCACTAGGGAGTGCCAGACAGTGGGCGCAGGACAGTGGGTGCAGTGCACCATGTGTGAGCCGAAGTGGGGCGAGGCATTGCCTCACTCGGGAAACACAAGGGGTCAGGGAGTTCCCTTTCCTAGTCAAAGAAAGGGGTGACAGACAGCACCTGGAAAATCGGGTCACTCCCACCCTAATACTGCACTTTTCCGATGGGCTTAAAAAACGGCACACTAGGAGATTATATCCCACACCTGGCTTGGAGGGTCCTACGCCCATGGAGTCTCGCTGATTGCTAGCACAGCAGTCTGAGATCAAACTGCAAGGTGGCAGCAAGGCTGGGGGAGGGGCGCCCACGATTGCCCAGGCTTGCTTAGGTAAACAAAGCAGCCGGGAAGCTCGAACTGGGTGGAGCCCACCACAGCTCAAGGAGGCCTGCCTGCCTCTGTAGGCTCCACCTCTGGGGGCAGGGCACAGACAAACAAAAAGCAGTAACCTCTGCAGACTAAAATGTCCCTGTCTGACAGCTTTGAAGAGAGCAGTGGTTCTCCCAGCACGCAACTGGGGATCTGAGAATGGGCAGACTGCCTCCTCAAATGGGTCCCTGACCCCTGACCCCCGAGCAGCCTAACTGGGAGGCACCCCCCAGTAGGGGAAGACTGACACCTCACACGGCCGGGTACTCCTCTGCAACAAAACTTCCAGAGGAACGATCAGACAGCAGCATTTGTGGTTCATGAAAATCCGCTGTTCTGCAGCCACTGCTGCTGGTACCCAGGCAAACAGGGTCTGGAGTGGACCTCTAGCAAACTCCAACAGACCTGCAGCTGAGGGTCCTGTCTGTTAGAAGGAAAACTAACAAACAGAAAGGACATCCACACCAAAAACCCATCTGTACGTCACCATCATCAAAGACCAAAATTAGATAAAAACACAAAGATGGGGAAAAAACAGACCAGAAAAACTGGAAACTCTAAAAAGCAGAGCACCTCTCCTCCTCCAAAGGAACACAACTCCTCACCAGCAACGGAACAAAGCTGGACGGAGAATGACTTTGACGAGTTGAGAGAAGAAGGCTTCAGACGATCAAACTACTCCAAGCTACAGGAGGAAATTCAAACCAAAGGCAAAGAAGTTGAAAACTTTGAAAAAAATGTAGATGAATGTATAACTAGAATAACCAATACAGAGAAGCACTTAAAGGAGCTGATGGAGCTGAAGGCCAAGGCTCGAGAACTACGTGAAGAATGCAGAAGCCTCAGGAGCCGATATGATCAACTGGAAGAAAGGGTATCAGTGATGGAAGATGAAATGAATGAAATGAAGCGAGAAGGGAAGTTTAGAGAAAAAAGAATAAAAAGAAACGAACAAAGCCTCCAAGAAATATGGGACTATGTGAAAAGACCAAATCTACGTCTGATTGGTGTACCTGAAAGTGATGGGGAGAATGGAACCAAGTTGGAAAACACTCTGCAGGATATTATCCAGGAGAACGTCCCCAATCTAGCAAGGCAGGCCAATATTCAGATTCAGGAAATACAGAGAATGCCACAAAGATACTCCTCAAGAAGAGCAACTCCAAGAAACATAATTGTCAGATTCACCAAGCAACTCCAAGACACATAATTGTCAGATTCACCAAAGTTGAAATGAAGGAAAAAATGTTAAGGGCAGCCAGAGAGAAAGGTCGGGTTACCCACAAAGGGAAGCCCATCAGACTAACAGCTGATCTCTCGGCAGAAACTCTACAAGCCAGAAAAGAGTGGGGGCCAATATTCAACATTCTTAAAGAAAAGAATTTTCAACCCAGAATTTCATATCCAGCCAAACTAAGCTTCATAAGTGATGGAGAAATAAAATACTTTACAGATAAGCAAATGCTGAGAGATTTTGTCATCACCCGGCCTGCGCTGAAAGAGCTCCTGAAGGAAGCACTAAACATGGAAAGGAACAACCGGTACCAGCCACTGCAAAAACAAGCCAAATTGTAAAGACCATCAAGGCTAGCAAGAAACTGCATCAACTAACAAGCAAAATAACCAGCTAACTTCTTAATGACAGGATCAAATTCACACATAACAATATTAACTTTAAATGTAAATGGACTAAATGCTCCAATTAAGAGATACAGACTGGCAAATTGGATAAAGAGTCAAGACCCATCAGTGTGCTGTATTCAGGAAACCCATCTCACGTGCAGAGACACACATAGGCTCAAAATAAAGGGATGGAGGAAGATCTACCAAGCAAATGGAAAACAAAAAAAGGCAGGGGTTGCAATCCTAGTCTCTGATAAAACAGACTTTAAACCAACAAAGATCAAAAGAGACAAAGAAGGCCATTACATAATGGTAAAGGGATCAATTCAACAAGAAGAGCTAACTATCCTAAATATATATGCACCCAATATAGGAGCACCCAGATTCATAAAGCAAGTCCTGAGTGACCTACAAAGAAACTTAGACTCCCACACAATAATAATGGGAGACTTTAACACCCCACTCTCAACATTAGACAGATCAATGAGACAGAAAGTTAACAAGGATACCCAGGAATTGAACTCAGCTCTGCACCAAGCGGACCTAATAGACATCTACAGAACTCTCCACCCCAAATCAACAGAATATACATTCTTTTCAGCACCACACCACACCTATTCCAAAATTGACCACATAGTTGGAAGTAAAGCTCTCCTCAGCAAATGTAAAAGAACAGAAATTATAACAAACTGTCTCTCAGACCACAGTGCAATCAAACTAGAACTCAGGATTAAGAAACTCACTCAAAACCGCTCAACTACATGGAAACTGAACAACCTGCTCCTGAATGACTACTGGGTACATAACGAAATGAAGGCAGAAATAAAGATGTTCTTTGAAACCAACAAGAACAAAGACACAACATACCAGAATCTCTGGGACACATTCAAAGCAGTGTGTAGAGGGAAATTTATAGCACTAAATGCCCACAAGAGAAAGCAGGAAAGATCTAAAATTGACACCCTAACATCACAATTAAAAGAACTAGAGAAGCAAGAGCAAACACTTTCAAAAGCTAGCAGAAGGCAAGAAATGACTAAGATCAGTGGAGAAATGAAGGAAATAGAGACATAAAAAACCCTTCAAAAAATCAATGAATCCAGGAGCTGGTTTTTTGAAAAGATCAACAAAATCGATAGACCGCTAGCAAGACTAATAAAGAAGAAAAGAGAGAAGAATCAAATAGATGCAATAGAAAATGACAAAGGGGATATCACCACCGATCCCACAGAAATACAAACTACCATCAGAGAATACTATAAACACCTCTATGCAAATAAACTAGAAAATTTAGAAGAAATGGATAAATTCCTGGACACATACACCCTCCCAAGACTAAACCAGGAAGAAGTTGAATCTCTGAATAGACCAATAACATGCTCTGAAATTGAGGCAATAATTAATAGCTTACCAACCAAAAAGAGTCCAGGACCAGATGGATTCACAGCCGAATTCTACCAGAGGTACAAGGAGGAACTGGTACCATTCCTTCTGAAACTATTCCAATCAATAGAAAAAGAGGGAATCCTCCCTAACTCATTTTATGAGGCCAGCATCATCCTGATACCAAAGCCGGGCAGAGACACAACCAAAAAAGAGAATTTTAGACCAATATCCTTGATGAACATTGATGCAAAAATCCTCAATAAAATACTGGCAAACCGAATCCAGCAGCACATCAAAAAGCTTATCCACCATGATCAAGTGGGCTTCATCCCTGGGATGCAAGGCTGGTTCAACACACGAAAATCAATAAACATAATCCAGCATATAAACAGAACCAAAGACAAAAACCACATGATTATCTCAATAGATGCAGAAAAGGCCTTTGACAAAATTCAACAACCCTTCATGCTAAAAACTCTCAATAAATTAGGTATTGATAGGACGTATCTCAAAATAATAAGGGCTATCTATGACAAACCCACAGCCAATATCATACTGAATGGGCAGAAACTGGAAGCATTCCCTTTGAAAACTGGCACAAGACACAGATGCCCTCTCTCACCACTCCTATTCAACACAGTGTTGGAAGTTCTGGCCAGGGCAATCAGGCAGGAGAAGGAAATAAAGGGTATTCAATTAGGAAAAGAGGAAGTCAAATTGTCCCTGTTTGCAGATGACATGACTGTATATCTAGAAATCCCCATCATCTCAGCCCAAAATCTCCTTAAGCTGATAAGCAACTTCAGCAAAGTCTCAGGATACAAAATCAATATACAAAAATCACAAGCATTCTTATACACCAATGACAGACAAACAGAGAGCCAAATCCTGAGTGAACTCCCATTCACAATTGCTTCAAAGAGAATAAAATACCTAGGAATCCAACTTACAAGGGATGTGAAGGACCTCTTCAAGGAGAACTACAATCCACTGCTCAATGAAATAAAAGAGGATACAAACAAATGGAAGAACATTCCATGCTCATGGATAGAAAGAATCAATATCGTGAAAATGGCCATACTGCCCAAGGTAATTTAAAGATTCAATGCCATCCCCATCAAGCTACCAATGACTTTCTTCATAGAACTGGAAAAAACTACTTTGAAGTTCATATGGAACCAAAAAAGAGCCTGTATCGCCAAGTCAATCCTAAGCCAAGAGAACAAAGCTGGAGGTATCATGCTACCTGACTTCAAACTATACTACAAGGCTACAGTAACCAAAACAGCATGGTACTGGTACCAAAACAGGGATATAGATCAATGGAACAGAACAGAGCCCTCAGAAATAATGCCGCATATCTACAACTATCTGATCTTTGACGAACCTGAGAAAAACAAGCAAGGGGGAAAGGATTCCCTATTTAATAAATGGTGCTGGGAAAACTGGCTAGCCATATGTAGAAAGCTGAAACTGGATCCCTTCCTTACACCTTATACAAAAATTAATTCAAGATGGATTAAAGACTTAAATGTTAGACCTAAAACCATAAAAACCCTAGAAGAAAACTTAGGCAATACCATTCAGGACATAGGCATGGGCAAGGACTTCATGTCTAAAACACCAAAAGCAATGGCAACAAAAGCCAAAATTGACAAATGGGATCTAATTAGACTAAAGAGCTTCTGCACAGCAAAAGAAACTACCATCAGAGTGAACAGGCAACCTACAGAATGAGAGAAAATTTTTGCAACCTACTCATCTGACAAAGGGCTAATATCCAGAATCTACAATGTACTCAAACAAATTTACAAGAAACAAACAAACAACCCCATCTAAAAGTGGGTTAAGGATATGAACAGACACTTCTCAAAAGAACACACTTATGCAGCCAAAAAACACATGAAAAAATGCTCATCATCACTGGCCATCAGAGAAATGCAAATCAAAACCACAATGAGATACCATCTCACACCAGTTAGAATGGCAGTCATTAAAAAGTCAGGAAACAACAGGTGCTGGAGAGGATGTGGAGAAGTAGGAACACTTTTACACTGTTGGTGGGACTGTAAACTAGTTCAACCATTGTGGAAGTCAGTGTGGCGATTCCTCAGGGATCTAGAACTAGAAATACCATTTGACCCAGCCATCCCATTACTGGGTGTATACCCAAAGGACTATAAATCATGCTGCTATAAAGACACATGCACAGGTATGTTTATTGCGGCACTATTCACAATAGCAAAGACTTGGAAGCAACCCAAATGTCCAACAATGATAGACTGGATTAAGAAAATGTGGCACCTATACACCATGGAATACTATGCAGCCATAAAAAATGATGAGTTCATGTCCTTTGTAGGGACATGGATGAAACTGGAGACCATCATTCTCAGCAAACTATCGCAAGGACAAAAAACCAAACACCGCGTGTTCTCACTCATAGGTGGGAATTGAACAATGAGAACACATGGACACAGAAAGGGGAACATCACACTCTGGGGACTGTTGTGGGGTGGGAGTAGGGGGGAGGGATAGCATTAGAAGATATACCTAATGCTAAATGATGAGTTAATGGGTGCAGCACACCAACATGGCACATGTATACATATGTAACAAACCTGCACGTTGTGCACATGTACCCTAAAACTTAAAGTATAATAATAATAAAATTTAAAAAAAGAAAAAAAAAAACTTTTTTTGCTTAAGATCTGTGCCTTAGTTAGAGAAAGTTTCTTAAGAAATAATGGTATAGATCTGAAGTTAGAAAGGACTGTCCTAGGATATTTAAAACCCTGTATCTCCCATTTCCCCTCTCTCACCATACTTTGGCAACTGGTAATCTAATTTTTTTCTCTATTGATTTGCCTATTTGGGACATTTCATATAAATTAATTCACCCAGCGTATGTCTTTTTCCGTCTGGTTTCTTTCACTTAGCATAACATTTTCAAGGTTCACCCATATTGTAGTATGTATCAGTACTTCGTTATTTTTTGTGGCTGAGTAATATTCCATTGTTTAGGTATATCAACTTTTGTTTATCCACTAATCAATTGATGAATACCTTAATTCTTTCCATTCTTTGGCTATTATAAATATTGCTGCTGTGAAAAATCATGTACAAGTTTTGGTATGTATATATATTTTTTAATGCATTGGGGCAGATATATAGGTATGGAATTGCTGGTCATATAGTTAGAAAACTCTATTTAACTTTTGAAGAACTGCTAAATTGTTTTCCTCAGTAGCTGGGCCATTCTACATTCTTACCAGCAATGTATGAGGGTTTTAATTTCTCCATATCCTTGAAAATACTTGATATTTTCAGGTTTTCTCACGGCCATTATAGTAGGAGTACACTGGTGACTCATGGTTTTGATATGCATTTCCCTAATGCTTAATGATACTGAACATCTTTTCATGTGCTTTTGGCCATTTGTATATCTTCTTTAGAAAAATATCTATTTCAAATATTTTGCCTATTTTTTATTGAGTGGCTTATCTTTTTATAATTAAGTTCTAAGAATTTTTTAAAAATATACTTTGTATCTAGACCCTTATCAGATGTATGGTTTGCGGATATTTTCTTCTATTTTGTCATCTTTTCATTTTCTTGATGGTGTCCTTTGACACACAAAAGTTTTTATTAATTTTGATAAGGTCTGTCTTATCTATTTTTTCTTTTCTTGCATAAGTTTTTGTGTCATATTGAAGCAGCTTTTTTTTTTTTTTTTTTTTGAGACAAGATCTCTCCCTGTCACCCAAGCTGGAATGCAGTGGCCTGATCATGGCACACTGCAGCCTTGACCTTCCAGTCTCAGCCAATCCTCTCACCTCAGTCTCCTGAGTAGTTAGGACCACAGGCACACACCACCATGCCCAGCTAATTCTTTAAAACATGTTTTTGTAAAGACCGGATCTCCCTATGTTTCCCAGGCTGTTCTCGAACTCCTGGGCTCAAGCCATTCTCCCACCTCAGTCTCCCAGAGTGCAGGGATTACCGGTGTGAGCCACCATGCCTGGCCAAGCAGCATAGATTTTTAATCTCCCCTCTAATGCATCCACCAAAAATAAAAATACATATATATATATATACACACACACACAATAAAAATACATACAAATATGTATATGTATATATATATATATATATACACACACACACAAAACAGACATTATGACTAGGCTTGCATAACTTAAAACACAGAAAACATCCATGACTGATAAAAATCAGGCAAATTTTTATCACCTACAAACCAAAATTAAGATCTGGTAGGGTTGAACACTTTCCAGTTCCAAAGTCTTGTAGTATAAACATCTGTGTTGAGGAAAGCAGAGGAAAACAATTAGGCCTATGATGGACCTGAGACCAGAAGAACCCCAAATTTCTAAAAGGCAGCCACTGGAATTCACACAGTGGGACAATTTTGAGAAAAATAACAGAAACTGAAAGGGTCTTTGGCACAGTCTAGTTCTTAGGCAAATCTTGCCTGGGCCTGTGGACTCTTGAAACCAAGCAGCCAAAGGGCCCCTTCTGGAACAAAAGCCCACAGAAACAGGACAGGGATAATAGGGACACAGAAAAAAAAAAAAAAAAAGAGCCTCAAATAAAACTAATGGGAGAAAAAGAGCCAGGAGGTCTCTGAGAGTACAGCACCTCATAATTGAACAAATAATAAGCTCTGAAGTTGTGAATCGAAAAAAGCTATCCTGGCCAACCCTATCCTTATAGTTACAGAAAATTAACTTTACATAAAAAGAAACAACAGAAACTGATTGTAACTGAATTGCATACAAATTATTCTAGGAAAGGAAGAGAAAATAAGGAGCAGAATAACATCCCTAATAAAACCTACAGCATGCCAGAAAGAAACATGCCAACAAAAAAGATAAAAATGACATCTAATATTTTAGGATGAGCTAAAATGAATAGAAAAAATAGAATTCTGAAAAACAACATAAGTAAGAATTAGAAACACTTAGAGATGGGATAGAACTAAGGAAGGAATTAGAAATAAAATAACAAATAGATTTGGAAACAAGGACTAAAACTTCTAGTGCAGTCTTTTTTACACCACAGAGAGAATACATGCAATAGATAATGCCTTAAGAGTTACAGATGAAATGAGAAAAATTTTTAAATGAAGAAATTATAAAAAGAGAATTTTAAAATATTTGAAAGTGATGCATAAATAGAAGATATTTATAGAAGAAAACCAAAACAGAAGAAAATAATTAAAATTCATAATTCAAAAAAAATTTTTTTGAAATATTTTTAAAAAGAGAGAATATAAAATAGTATCAAAGCATATTATAAACTCAGAAAAATCAACCTACAATTGCTATTGCTGAGAAATAGTATAATCAAATTACCATACTTTATGGAAAGAAAAAGAATCTTCGCCAATGTAGCCAAAAGACCAAATCACTTATAAAGGAAGTAAAATCAGATTGCCATTAGATTTTTGACAGCAAGCTTTATCTCAGAAGAAAATAGAGTATGGTAAATATTTTTTAATTAATATATAGATGAATACATGAATGAGCAACATAAATAATTCTAGTTTTTCATTTTATATACGCACTGGATCTCTTCCTTTATCTCTAATGATGTATATTTCACAATCTTTGGGGTACCTGGATGAATTATAAAATATTCATAAGCATGTATTTTATAATATCTCCTTATTATGTTAATGGCATTAGACTATTTGCCAAACCTAAAACATAAATTTTATCTGTTTCTTTTTTGAGTTCTACCAATTTTTGCTTCAAAAAATTTGAAGCTCTGATATTAGGTTCATAAACTTTAAGAATTGTTATGTTCTTTTGATGAGTTGAGCCCTTGTCATAATGAAACAATCTTTTTAAATCCATCCTAATATTTTTGGTTCTGAAATCTACATTGTCTGATATTAATATAAGAAATCTAACTTTTAAATATTATTAGCATCATGTGTTTTCATTATTTTACTCTATTTGTATGTTTATATTTAAAGTAAATTTTTTATAGACAGCTTATTGTTGGGTTGCTTTTTTATACAATCTCTGCCTTTTGGTTGGAGGTAGTTAGGCCATTTACATTTAATGTAATCATCAACATAACTGAGTTTAAATGAACAATTTTGCTATTAGTTTTCTAGTTGTTTCTTCTGTTTTTTGTTCCCTTCCTTTTCTTGACTTCTTTTGGATTATTATTTTTTAAGAATCCATCATATCTTCTTAGTGGGTTTATTTACTATAACTTTTTATTTGTTTTTTAAGTAGTTACTTTAGGACTTATAGTATATATCTTTAACAGTTACTTTAGAATTTATAGTATATATCTTTTTAGTATATGTCTTTATAGTATTTAGCATATATCTCTAGTATATATCTTTAGATATATATCTATATCTTAGATTTATAGTATATATCTTTAGCTTATCATAGTCTACCTCCTAGTAATATTATACCACTTCAGGTACAGTAAACTTTCTTTCACCACTGCCCCCACAGCCACCATCCATCAGCCTTTGTGCTATTGCTGTTATACATTTTATTTCACTAATCCCTATGAATTCCATTATATACTATTACTAAACAACATATTTTAAACAGCCAATGATTTTTTAAAGAGACTCAAAATAAGAAAAAGTGTATTTCATTTTTACCCTCTTATTTACCATTTCTAGTGTTGTTCTTCTTTTTTTTTTTTCCAGGGGAAAGCACAAACAAAATCCCCCACTACCACAAATTATGCAGTTGAGTTTCCCACATTTGGTGAAATCACAGGTGTCAGCACATCCAGAGTGCAATGGATAAGACTTGCCATGGGAAAACCATCTATGTGATCATGGTATCTCCCCTGCCAGGTAAGTATAGTATTCTTCAGTTCTTTGCTGATTGAATGTCTTCTGGCATGGATTATTTCTGAATCTGCTGTCATTTTTTCTTCATTCCTGTATATATAATGTATTTTTCCCACTCCTTTGGATGCTTTTAATGTTTTCTCTTTATCATTTTTTTGTTTTTGTTTTGGGTTTTCGTTTTTGGTTTTTTCTTTTTTTGAGACAGGGTCCTGCTATGTTGCTCAGGCTAGAGTGAGTGGCTATGCACAGGGGTGATTCCATTACTGATGAGAACAGCAGATTTGATCATCTCCATTTTTGACCTGGGCCAGTTCACTCCTCCTTAGCAACCTGGTGGTCCCCTGCTCCTGGGAGGTCACCATACTGATACTGAAGTTAGTGTGGACACTTGATTGGCATAGTGCACTACAGCCCAGAACTCCTGGGAACAAGCAATCTTCCCACCTCAAACTCCTGAGTACCTGGGACTACAGGTACATGCCCTCAGGCCTGGCTTGGTTCTTAATAACTTGATTATGATGCATGTTCATGTATTTCTCTGTTTCTTGTGCTTGGAGTTCATGAGTCACTGAATTTGTGGGTTATATTTCTCAACAAATTTGAAAAATTTTTGGCAATAATTTCTTCAAATATTTTTAAACTTTCTCCTATTTATACCTTGTATAGGGATTCTAATTACATGTTTATTAGGCCGTTTAAATCGCTCACAACACACTGATGTACTGCTCAATACTTTTTCAGTTTTTTCTCCGGGCTTTATTTTGTATAGTTTCAATAAGTTCACTTATTGTTTTTTCTGTAGTGTCTAATGTGTTTTTAATCCCATCCCGTATATTTTCACCCCAGACATTGTAGTTTTCATATATAAAATTCTTTCCAAAGTAAAAAGGTTTTCTAAAAAGTTATTGTCAGAGAGGGGCTATGAGAGTTTTTTATATCAATTGATAATCTTTTTTTCTTTTTTTGAGACAGGTTCTCACTCTGTCTTTCAGGCTGGAGTGCAGTGGTACAAACATAGCTCACTGCAGTCTTGACCTCCTGAGCTCAAGCAATCCTCCCACCTCAGCCTCCCAAGTAGCTGGAACTCCAGGCACATGCCACCACACCTAGCTGATTAATTTTTTTTGTAGAGATACAGTCTTACTTTGTTGCCCAGGCTGAAATAGATAATCTTTATCACTGATAAAGATACAGATCCCTGTTCTAGTTATATGTTTATGTATGAAGTTATCAGTGAATGCCATAATTAGTGAGATGGTATACCTGAAATCCACATTTCATAGCATAGCTACTAAAAATTGAAGCCAAGTGACAAATCAAGGTAATATTTGACAGTTAAAAGCCTTTATCAGAAAAAACACTCAATGGTGTGGCAGTACAGTTTATAAATATTGACACAGTTCAGATATGAAGCCACTGCCCATCAAATTATAAGATTCTTATATCCTGCAACTACATTCAAAAAGCCTTTCTAAACAGAGGCCTCAGTAAATGCAGTTCACTTCTACTTACAGCATTGAAGCCTTCCTATTTTTCCTTGCTCTATCAGCTGTCCAGCCTGAGATCTTAAAAATCTTTTTCATGATTTTTAATTGAGTCTGAAACAGACCCTGCTTTATCACCTAATGATAAGAGAGAGAGAGAGAGAGGAAGGAAGGAGAGGGGGAGAAAAAGAAGAAGGAGGAGGGAAGAAATAGAAAGAGAGAGGGCAGACAGGCATTTATTTTTTTTCAGGTTCAGTAGACATTACTTGATTATCTTAAATGCCACCTTCAAACCATACAATAAAGCAAATGTGAGAGAGATCATGGCGGATGGGAGGCAGAAGTAGATTGCGCTCCCGCTTGGATGGACAGAGCACCATGTGGAGGTTCACATCGTGAACTTTTGCTCCAGAACAACTGCAGAAACAAATCAGGAAAGCCAAGAGAACCCATAGACTCTCTGAAGGAAGCAGATTGCTCCTGCAGGACCCAGAATACACCCTAAATATTGTGCTGGTATCCGCAGTTTAGAGACCCATAGACAGTTCACAACACAGAACTCTGTACAGACAAACCCCAGTACCAGCCTGGAGCCTGCTGAACTGCTGGGTGGCTGGATCCAGAAGAGAAATAACAGTCACTATAGCTCGGCTCTCAGGAAGTCACATCCCTAGGAAAAGGGGGAGAGTACTACATCAAGGGAACATCCCATGGGACAAAAGAATCTGAACAACAGGACTTGAGCCCTAGACCTTCCCTCTGACAGAGCCTACCCAAATGAGAATAAACCAAAAAACCAACTCTGGTAATATGACAGAAGTCTCTTTAACACTCCCAAAAAATCACACTAGTTCACGAGCAATGGATCCAAACCAAGAAGAAATCCCTGCTATACTTGGAAAAGAATTCAGGAGGTTAGTTATTAAGCTAATCAGGGAGGCACCAGCAGAAGGCGAAGCCCAATTTAAGGAAGTCAAAAAAATGATACAAGAAACGAGGGAGAAATTTTCAATGAAATAGATAGCATAAATAAAAAACAATCAAAACTTCAGGAAACAATGGACATGCTTATAGAAATGCAAAATGCCCTGGAAAGTCTCAGCAATGGAATCGAACAAACAGTAGGAAGAACTTTGGAGCTCAAAGACCAGGTTTTCAAATTAACCCAATCCAACAATTACATGGAAAAAAGAATAAGAAAATATGAGCAAACCCTACAAGAAGTCTGGGATTATGTTACATGGCCAAACCTCAGAATAATCAGCATTCCTGAGAAAGAAGAAAAATCTGTAAGTTTGGAAAACATATTTGGGGGAATAATCGAGGAAAGTTTCCCCCGCGTTGCTAGAGACCTAGACATCCAAATACAAGAAGCTCAAAGAACATCTGGGAAATTCAACGCAAAAAGAACATCACCTAGGTACAACAACAACAACAAAACCACAGACCAATATCCTTTATGAACATAGATGCAAAAGATGCAAAAATCCTTAACAAAATACTAGCTAACTGAATCCAACAACATATCATAAAAATAATCCACCATGATCAAGTGGGTTTCATACCAGGGATGCAAGGATGGCTTAACATATGCAAGTCAATAAATGTGATACACCATGTAAACAGAATTAAAAACAAAAATCACATGATCATCTCAATAAATGCAGAAAAAGCATTTGACAAAATCCAGCATCCCTTTATGATTAAAATTCTCATCAAAATCAGCATACAGGGGACATACCTCAATGTAATAAAAGCCATCTATGAAACACCCACAGCCAACATAATACTGAATGAGGAAAAGTTGAAAGCATTCCCTTTGAGAACTGGAACAAGACAAGGATGCCCACTCTTACCACTTCTCTTCAATATAGTATTGGAAGTTCTAGTCAGAGCAATAGGACGAGAGAAAGAAATAAAGGGCATCCGAATTGGTAAAAAGGAAGTCAAACTGTGACTGTTTGCCAGTGATATGACTGTTTACCTAGAAAACCCTAAATACTCCTTCAGAAAACTCCTAGAACTGATAAAGAATTCAGCAAAATTTTGGGATACAAAATTAATGTACACAAATCAGTAACTCTTCTACACACCAACAGCAACAAAGCTGAGAAACAAATCAAGAACTCAACCCCTTACACAATAGCTGCAAAAAAAATAAAATACTTAGGAATGTACCTAACCAAGGAAGTGAAAGACCTCTACAAGAAAAACTACAGAACTGTGCTGAAAGAAATCATAGACAATACCAACAAATGAAAACACAGCCCATGCTCATGGATTGGTAAAATTAATATTGTGAAAATGACCATACTGCCAAAAGCAATCTACAAATTCAATGCAATTCCCACCAAAATACCACCATCATTCTTCGCAGAATTAGAAAAAACAATCCTAAAATTTATATGGAACCAAAAAAGAGCACACATAGCAAAAACAAAACTAAGCAAAAAGAATAAATCTGGAGGCATCACATTACCTGATTTCAAACTATACTATAAGGCCATAGTCACCAAAACAGTATGGTACTAGTATAAAAATAGGCACATAGACCAATGGAACAGATTAGAAAACCCAGAAATAAACCCAAATACTTACAGCCAACTGATCTCCACAAAGCAAATACAAGCGTAAAGTGGGGAAAGGACACCGTATTCAATATATGGTGCTGGGATAATTGGCAAGCCACATGTAGGAGAACGAAACTGGATCCTCATCTCTCACCTTATACAAAAATCAACTAAAGATGGATCAAAGACTTAAATCTAAGACTTGAAACTATAAAAATTTTAGAAGATAACATTGGAAAAACCCTTCTAGACATTGGCTTAGGCAAAGATTTCATGACCAAGAACCCAAAAGCAAATGCAATAAAAACAAAGATAAATAGCTGGAATTTAATCAAACTAAAAAGCTTTTGCACGGCAAAAAGAACAGTCAGCAGAGTAAGCAGACAACCCACAGAGTGGGAGAAAGTCTTCACAATGTATACATCTGACAAAGGAGTAATATCCAGAATCTACAACGGACTCAAAAAAATTAGCAAGAAAAAACAATCTTATCAAAAAGTAGGCTAAGGACATGAATAGACAATTCTCAAAAGAAGATATACAAATGGCCAACAAACATATGAAAAAATGCTCGACAACACTAGTGACCAGGGAAATGCAAATCAAAACCACCTTACTCCTCCAAGAATGGCCATAATCAAAAAATCAAAAAATAATAGATGTTGGCATGGATGTGGTGAACAGGGAACACTTCTACACTGCTGGTGGGGATGTAAACTAGTACAGCCACTATGGAAAACAGTGTGAAGATTCCTTAAAGAAATAAGAGTAGAAATACCATTTGATCCAGCAATCCCACTACCAGGTATCTACTCAGAGGAAAAGAAGTCGTTATATGAAAGAGATACTTGCACACACATGTTTAAAGCACACAATTTGCAAGTGCAAAAATGGGGAACTAACCCAAATGCCCATCAATCAATGAGTGGATAAAGAAACTGTGGTATATATATAATGGAATACTACTCAGCCATAAAAATGAATTAACGGCATTTGCAGCAACCTGGGTGAGATTGGAGACTATTATTCTAAGTGAAGTAACTCAGGAATGGAAAACCAAACATCGTATGTTCTCACTTATAAGTGGGAGCTAAGCTATGAGGATGCAAAGGCCTAAGAATGACACAATGGACTTTGAGGACTCATGGGGAAAGGGTGGAAAGGAATTAAGGGGTAAAAGACTACAAACTGTGTGCAGAGTATACTACTCAGGTGATGGGTGCACCAAAATCTCACACATCACCACTAAAGAACTTACTCATGTAACCAAACACCATCTGTTCCTCAATAACCTATGAAAATAAAAATTAAAAACAAACGAAAAAACCTAAATGTAATGAGGGTGGCAATAATCATCACCCTGCCCCTTTCAGGTGAGTAAACATGGCATGCAGCTATTCACTGTATCTGAAAGTCTCACAGAAGAAATATAATGCCCTTGCCTCCTAGGATGATTTGGAAACATATTGGCAGACAAAGTTGCCTGTCTCTTGAGTCAATTACGTTGTGTAATAAAGTACATTGAAAAGTTCTGGTCAGTCAAGCTTCTGTTCATATAGCCGATGTAATTGCTTTATAAGCTAAAAGCTATTTTTTGGCCAAGTTATTTAATTGTTCTCAGTTTCCTCAATTGAAAAAGAGGAGGTTGTGCCAGTTTGTAAGAGTCCTCAGCTCCATCGGCCCACACCAAGCTGCCTGAGAATAACAAGACCCACTTTTTATTTTCATTGTTTATCAGAAATTTTGACTTCAACTTTTTGAGTTATAACCCAGTCTATCATATTTATTTGCCCACTCTTACTTTCTATCAATTCATTTACAAAAACAAAACTTGCTTAGAAAATTCAGTCATACAAAGTTTTCTATCTTGATAGCATTCTGATTTGTTCTTTTTAATTCTTAAATCTAATTTTCAAGAAATGTATTTTTTCCTTGGGCTGCCATAACAAACTGCCAGAAATTGGATGCCTTAAACAAGAAAAGTGTATCGTCTCCCAGTTCTAGAGTGGCTAGAAGTGCAAAAATCAAGGTGCTGGAAGGATTGGCTTCTCCTGAGCTCTGTGAGATCTCTCCTAGTTCCCAGCAGCCTCAGGCACTCGTTGGCTGTAGATGGCCTTCTCCCTGTGTCTTTACATGTCTTTCCTTTATCCATGTCTATTTCTGTGCCCAAATTTCCCTCTTTTAATAAGGATACCAGTCAGATTAACGCCCACCCTAATGACCTCATCTTAATTTGATCACTGGCAAAGACCTTATTTCCAAATAAGATCACATTCACAGTTTCTGGGGGTTAGGATTTTATTCTGGTTTGGAGGGACACATTTCAACCCATAAACAAGAAGGAAAAGAGGCAATGTGATTCTGAATCACTGGTTACAATATCTGCCTTTCCAAGTTTGACCTTTTAAAAATGACACTGCCACCTGAGGCTTCCAGTCCCACCATCTGCTTTCTTTTCATATTTGCATAATTAACTCTCTCCTCTCCTTTTTTTTACCCTTTCCCCATCATTTCTCTCTTTTTTTCTGTGCAATGTGAATATCTAAGAACTTGATGCAGACTTTTGAGCCTTCTGTTTTTTTGTCTTTCAATTATCTCATTCATCAGATTAGCTTTAGCCACTGTGGATTATAACCTGCAGTTACTTGTTTAGCAGGGACTTCTAGGAATATATAGTCCTTAAACCCAGGGAAGAGGGGTCTGTGAAGAAGAGAAACATCAGCATCAGTGATGAGATGAATAGTGGCCAAGGAGAGGTGGGATTCTAAATCTGCAAGTCCATTAACCCGGGTCTGGACAATTGAGAAAATTCCCTGTAAAACTACTGATAAAATCTGTGCAATTCTTCCTGGTTGAGACAGGATGCCTCCTCATCCCAGAACCTGGCTGTTATTGTAGAGTAAAATTTGCCCTGGTCTGAAATGTGTATTTATGCCAAGGTGCCACTGGTGCTTCTGAAATAGTCCCTCAACTTACCCCTAGCAATATATACGTAGTACAAGAACCAGGTAAGCCCACTAGAAAATTAATCTAAAGCTCCTGGATCTAGGACTAGTGAGCAATTAGCATCTCTGTGGTTGGTGCTTTTTAGCAAGAAAAATCTAATTGTGTTTTAATGGTTTCTGGGACTGCAGTGTCATGAGTATTATTTCTTCTCTTTCAATCTACGTTTATTACCATGGATTAAATGTGTTTTTCATATTTCCCTCTGTACATTCTTGCTTTATATGTGTGCCTGTTCCAGATTGCATTCTAAGATTGTAAACTGCCATAGTAGTGTTCCCCAAACTGTGGCATGCATAAAAATCATTGAGAAATTTATTTTTAAAAATCCGTATATAGGTCCGGGAACAGTGGCTCACACCTGTAATCCTAGGACTTTGAGAGGCCGAGGTGGGTGGATCACCTGAGGTCAGAGGTTCAAGACCAGCCTGGCCAAAATGTCAAAACCCCATCTCTACTAAAAATACAAAAATTAGCTGAGCATGTTGGCGCATGCCTGTAATCCCAGCTACTCAGGAGGCTGATACAGGAGAATCACTTGAACCCAGGAAGCGAAGGTTGCAGTGAGCTGAGATTGGGCCACTGCACTCCAGCCTGGACAACAGAGTGAGATGGAAAAAAAAAATTCTTGTATGGGTTTACTACCTAAAGAGATTCTGAATCAAGATCTGGAAGAGGGATCTTAGAACCTGTATTTGTAACAAGTACCCTCTTTGGTTCTGATACAGCTGATCCTTGGATCCCATTTTAAGAAACATAAACCAAGAAGGTGGGAACTGATTTCTTTTAAGATTACTTATATCACTCATGAGGATTGCCCCAGGCCGGTAGATATTTAACCAACTCTAGTTGTTGGCTGCTGATGTTAATTGTCTGCTAAGTACATCTTATGGCCAACTTGCTGTACAGAAATTGAGTTTCATATAGTCCATTAGCCACTGAGAAACAGAAGAAAAGCCTGATGGATTTTCTTCCTGAATGGTAGAGATGAGCATCAATGTTTAAACAAGCCTGGAAAACTCCCTCTTTTCTTTGATGCCCTGTAATTCCTTTATTACAACGGGTCTTGTGGATTGCTATTTTTGTATGGATAACAACATATAGATGAAAAAGCATTTGTACGTACAGAGATGTACTCATTTCTCCCTCTCTGTGGCCCATCACCCTGTCACCTCTCTTCACATTTTCCTGCTGTCAGTTGAGGAAGATGCATTTATTTTATCAATCACAAAAATATTGCCCACAAAGAGAAGTACCTCATTAGGGCCAGAAGCACTGTGCCCTAGCTAAATAAATTTTCACCTAGCAGGCAAGGAAAACTGAGAAATACAAGCCCCCACTAGGGCTAAGGTTCCAGCATAGACAGAGCCCTAATTTTGATGCCTCCAGCAGACACTTCCTCTGACTCCCTTTGGGGAAGCATAGCACCCCACGTTCCCCTTATCCCATGACAGCCCTTATCTAGAATTGCATCATTGACAGTTCACTTGTCTGAATCTCATTCTAATTTCTCCTTGAGGAGTAGGAACTATGTCACAATCATCTGTGTATCCACAGCTCTTGGCAAACTGCCTGACCTAAAGTAGGCGATGAATCAATAAACTAAGCTCCTGGAAAAGTAGAGCTAGTTCTCCTAAATGCTTCTAGGGAAATTCCTAGTTTCTGTGGTGGTGTTGGGTCTGTACTGGAATTCACCCGGCAGCCCAGCCAGTTCCCAGTGTCTCCACCTTGCGTTGCATCTGCTTCACTAGATTTGTTCTAGAAGAATTGGTTGGAAAGAGATTTTTTTAAAAATCATCTTAAGCTCCCAAATATAAAATGTCCAAGGTACAGAGCAGGCTCAGAAACATGAAGGAGTGGTGTGTGTTGTGGCGTTAAAAACATTCTCACATCCGTCAAGATTCTGAATCTAACCCTTCACAACTGAAGTTACATTTGGAAACTACATATAGATTTGCTCAAAAACCTACAAATATTATTAAAAACATTTTCTCTCTTTGTTTTCCCACTGTTTCTCTTCTTATATCTGTATTTTTATTTATTTGATAAAATATGAATCAGGTGAAAGTTGGAAGAGGCTATCTGATGATTTGGCAGTTTATCATTCGCCATCTCCTAAAATGTGCCTAACGCATCTGGACACTGGAAGCAGGCAATAAGACATTTTCTCAACCCCATGAAGAAAAGGGGAGGAAAATTCTATCCCCTTGGAATCTTCATGCTCCATCTTACCCATCCATGGTGCTTGCAGCTGAGCCATTTTCTACCTTTGATGCATCCTTGGTAGAAAAAGAAAGCACAGCCTTTATAACTGAGAGTCTAACTGTAAATAAAACAGAGTCTAAGCTTTGAGGTATAACAGGAAATGGAATGATTTCATTTAAAATCTGATGACTCTAACACCTGGTGGTTTAAAGCACTGATATATAAAGAAGCAGGCAAAACCCTGAAGAAGCCAAAAAAAGAGAAACAGTGTTGAATTTGCTCTTTGGTACAGATTCTCTCTTGATATTAATACTAAGAGTGGAGCACCAAGGCTTTCTCCTGCTTCCTGTTTACAAGATGAAGTGGCATCATGATTCAGGGCAGAAATTTTAGAATCAGACAAAACTAGATTTGAATGTTGCCTGGACTTGGGAAAGTTATTTCAACTCTGGAAACCTCAATTCACTTATCCAGGAAAATGATTAAAATACCTCATGGAATGTATGAATAATGTCTCTTTAGACAGCATATATAGGCTATATAGAGGGAGCAGTTAGCATAGTGCCTAGCTCATTACAAATGCTCATCCAGAGTGGTGGCTCACGCCTGTAATCTTAGCACTTTGGGAGGCTGAGGCTGGCAGATTGCTTGAGTCCAGGAGTTTGAGACCAGCATGGGCAATATAACCTTAGTCTGTCTCTGCTAAAAATAAAAAATTAGCTGGGCGTGGTGGCACATCTGTAGTCCCAGCTACTCAGGAGGCTGAGGTGGGAGGATCACTTGAGCCTAGAAAATTGAGGTTGCAGTGAGCCAAAATTGCACCACTGCATTCCAGCCTTGACAACAGAGTCAGACCCTGTCTCAAATAAATAAAATAAAATAAAATAAAATAAAAATGTTCCACAAAAGCAAGACATTATTAAATTTTGAACAAAGGCAAAAGAGCACTCGGAATGGAGATTGGCTCCTGGTTGCTGAACTGTCTTATTTTATTCTTACACATCCCTTCTCTTCCCCTTCTCCAGGTTTTTGCATGAGTCTAGGTTACTGTATTTTTTCTTCTTAAGTTCTCCTGTCATTTTTAGTACACTATTTTAACCCTGTGAAGTTGCTGATATTTCATCATTTCAGACCTGCAAAAATGGCTGTTTCATAGGATCCAACCAAATATCTTTCCACAGGTTAAAAGCCATTAGCCATTGTTAGAAGCTTTTCTAAATGAATAAACAGGTTGGGATAATTATTTTCAGCAGGCTCAAATCATATCATTATAATTAGTTCACCCACTGAACTTAAATGGACCCTAGGACACAGTACTTAGCTCATAAAAAATCTCTTTACTATAAGCTTTACATTAAAGCACCTGTGATTAGTTGAATTAAAAGATTCTTCTGTGATTCACAACAAGAATTTTACAAGAAATTATGTGCTATGTAACTGAAGATTTTAAAGATAATTTTTATAAATATAACCCAAAACTGCTTTCTTTTTTACCATCTATGAAATCAAGAAACCATAGAAAGTGTGGATACAGAAAATAAAAACTTCCTAGGCAACAACCTCACACAATACAAAAATAATCAAATGCTGGCAGAAATGGTCCCTTGGAAATCGTGGCTCATTTGTTTAGAGTTCTACTGCTATTAGCTTCTGGTGATCAGGGAGTGAGAAATGGAAAGTATGCCACAGAGAATCATTAAGAACAACACACTAGATAGAGATAACCCATTTAGCTGACAAGCCACACAATGCAGTTCGAATTAAAAGCAAACAAACACATGAAAACAAAGAAAAAATGTAAAACCAGTGGAGAGCATGAAGACTCTGAAAATCCTGACAGATTCCTAAAGTCTCCACAAACAAAGATTTCAGTGTTGGCCGGGCGCAGTGGCTCACGCCTGTAATCCCAGCACTTTGGGAGGCTGAGGTGGGTGGATCATGAGGTCAGGGGTTCAAGACCAGCCTGACCAACATGGTGAAACCCTGTCTCTTCTAAAAATACAAAAATTAGCTGGGCATGGTGGTGGGCACCTGTAATCCCAGCTACTCAGGAGGCTGAGGCAGGAGAATTGCTTGAACCCGGGAGGCGGAGGTTGCAGTGAGCTGAGATTGCACAACTGCACTCCAGCCTGGGCAGCAGAGTGAGACTCCATCTCAAAAAAAAAAAAAAAAAAAGAAAAGAAAAAAGAAAAAGATTTCAGTATTATTGTCCTAAACCAAGAAAAAATGCCAAATGTGCTTTTAAAAGCTAGGAAAATGAAAAGAAGACAAATTCTGAGGTGGAACCCGGCAATGTTAAAATGAGAGGTTTAAAATGCTTGAAGGGTCCTCGCCTCTGTGGCTTTAAACAACCAGATGCTTCTGCAGAGGCAGCACCTCCATGGTCAGTCCTGATCCGAGTGCAGAGCCCAATCTGGAACCTTCCAGGCATTGCCAGAACTCCTGGGGCTCATTCCTTTGGCTTTCCTTGTGCTGTCACTTACTCAAAATAATAGAACCAGACTTTGACCTCTGAAGACTAAATTAATCATTATGTCCACTTTGAAAAGTTTTCTAAACGCTTGCTGATGCAGAAACTGTACTGATATTCAGAGAATCTGAGAGTGTGATGTGCCCACTATGGGCCCAGAGCAGAGTGGGGTCCCCTCTCTGAATGCATAGGATAGGCTTGGGGGATGCTCAGCTACTCTCTCTGGGCTTTTGGCAGTGTCATCATTGAGCAAAACCTGCTAAAGGGTTACAGCATCCTTGCTTTCTTACCCTTTCCCTCACCTACAGCTTCTCATATTTGAGAGGAGTATAATGATTGCATAAGCACCGAAGGATTTCCCAGTGGGGTTATTGAGATATGAAAGGGATGACCAGAATTTTTGCTTTCACATACACACAAAAGTGTTGAGGTATATTCTCGATTAATAATAGCAGAGTCAGAGATGTGGATCATTTCAGGCTTACAACATGAAATGCTTTAAAATTATTAGATGTATTTAACTGATAAAAGCTAGAAAATCAAGTCAGATTTGTTTGCCATCGAAGGAAGACTTTTACCTGAATTTATTTGATCAGTGCCTCATACCTTCTTGAATTTTTCTCTGTATGAGTAAACTTTTCTTTTACTTATCATAAAAATAATTGCTCCAAAAAGAAACATAGTTAAATCAGCTCTTTGATAAAATATATTCTATCTTCTCAGAATTCAAATTTTTACAATAAAACAGTCAGATCTGTTTGTACAAACATGGCCATTTAAGGCCAAATGAGTTCTTCACAATATTTTATTCTCCCAAACCAGTTAGTTAATTGTATAGGTTTTAGTCAGAAGAATGGCCAGTCACTATACAGCTGTATCCCTTTACAACACCAGGATCAAAAGGAATCCACCTGGATGCAAATCCCCACACTCAGGCCTCTCTTTGCTCAGCCACTCTCCTCGCCATTGGCCAGGTGGCTGCAAGCCTGTCTCCCTGGCCCCCTTCAGGTCTTTGCTAAGAGTCACTTTGGTGAGGCCTTCCCTGCTCACTTCTGTTCAAAACTACAAGCCCACCCATCTGCTCTAGTTCCTATTGTACTTCCCTGATTTGTTCATCTCAATAGGACCTTTATCCTCTTCGTTGTTATATATATTATTCATTTTTTATGAAGATTTCTCCTTCCTGTAAGGTGAGGCATCTCTGCCTCTTCTTTGTTGCTCTATTTTCAGGACCTAAAAGAGTGCCAGGCACATCGTGGGTCATAAATAAAGACTTACTAAATAAAGGAAAGAGACACTTGTGTGATTGAAAGTTTGCTTTGCAGCCATCTCTGTAGTCACTCACTATGAATGGAATTAATTTATATATCTAGGAAAATATATCATAAAACGTCTCTGCAGGGCACATCAAATGTGCCAAAACAAATAGTGACAATAAGTGCGATACATTATTTTGGGGGCATTACGAAACCAAACATACAAAAGGGCAATCTCTGAAGAGGAAAAACACCACAAAAAAAAATCTGTTTGAGCGAGAGACACATTCTCAAAAGTGCTTTGCAATGCTTAGAACAGGACAACAATAAATAAATAGTACGCATACCTGTAACGATTATGAACGGGTGAGTTGGCTGCCTCTTACCGTGGATTTTTAGCTTCTTCACAGGTGACTGCAGACGTTGCCAAATATTATGAACTGAAACCAAAGGAAAGATTCCCCTGAGCTGCTGACAGAGCTACCTGCCAAGAGTTTCATGTTTCTGAGTTGGAGCTGCAGTCGAACGGTGAAAGAGGCTTCCTGTAGCTAATGAGCCCTTTTCCAGGTGCTCTGCATTGCTGAGGCCATACAGAAGTCAATGCCCTGTCAGTGATTGCTCAAAGGAACTCTCTGGAGTTTAATTGGGCTTTCTGATCTGATCATTAGGCACAGCTATTGGTGTGTCCCCAGGTGACCTGAGATGCCTGCTCGGTAGTTATTGCTCCCTTCTTTGGCACTCACTAGAGGAGTGTTTACCATTTGTTGAGTTATAGAACAGAAAGGGCAGAAGAGGATTTAGTACAACATGTGATGGCAGCCCACAGTTGCTATTTAACCTCACAGGAGGTGTCCTTCATAAACTAATTCAACAGCGATGGCACGAGCAGCATCTATTCTGCCTCCAGATGGAGGAACAAGGGTGATGGTATGGCTTCTTCCCTCTGCTTCCATTTTCATTTGCTGCTAGCTTTCTTCTCCCCTTATAGTGGGCTGGGGGTATATGGGTGGTCTCAATTCCATGACATTTTATTTCCCAGTCATTTGGTGAAGACCGTCCAGGGAAAATTGCTTTAATGGCTGAGTCAGCAACATAGCATGGAATTCTTGACTCCTGGCTAGATACTTCATTCTATTCTAATCCTATGGAGGCAAGAAGAACTTCACAGATTAATTCACTTTCTCAAAAGAAAAACATGTGCACCCTATTTTCTTTAGAAATGAGCATTTAGAGTTTGCTACCGGAGTAGGGAGGATGAAGAGTGCAAAGGTTCAACTTCTGGTCTCTGCCTCTGAGCACTGCCTCGCTGCCGAGTAGGTATGCACACTTGGTGAGTCAGGAAGCCCCTTCATGTCCCAATTTTCCTGACTATGAAACAGGGATAATAAAAGTATCTACCACCCAGGGTTGTAGAGAGAATTTAATGAAACCATGTACATAAAGCATTTAAGATCATACCTGACACATAATCTTTCAATAAATCTTCACTGTTGCAATTATTTCTGGTTACACATTATACACAGAAAAATGCATTAAACTCTTCTTAACATGAATATGTGATAAATTTAGAGCACTGCATAATCTTCCAGACACCTCTCAAGCATCAGTGCTTATGAGACCAGGAGGAGATAAAGGATGATTATCCACAGTCTTAACTACATTTCAGCTGCAACCGGTCAACTCTATTTTCATCAGGCTTAAGAAGTAATTACCAAGCTGATGTTTATTTCATCATCTCTGTCTCCTTCTCGGCACCACCTGGTTCAGGTGCTGATCAACAGTGCAACTTGTCTGCTGATGATCAGCAGTGCAACTTGTCTGGGAAAAGAGAAGAAACCAGGGAAAAGGAGAAGTCAGTAGCCTGGATGATCCCCAGCAAAGCAAAGGCTTCGAGTTAGTGAGTGGGATCAAGCTGCACCTTCCCATCTCAGGACGTTGGTGATTTACCCTTGAGTTCAGGGTCTGCTTGGAGCCTGAAGGAGCTGGCTCTTGAAGATCTACTGGCCAGTGATATGCAGGTCCACATTGTACTTTTCTACTGTTACAAACCTAGGCTGAGCCACAGAGAGTTAAAATGATGTTAGTAAATTTGAAAACTCCTGGGAGTTCATTGCATCAGCAGCACTGGGCTTCAGCTTAGGTGGAGGTGATGAGGAGCTACAGGACACAGTTGAAGGCACATTAGGAAGAAGATCATCTTCCTCTTTGTCTGCACCCCTCCCAAGCAACAAATCTCCACACTGTGGGCTGTTGATTTGGGCTGAGACTGTTGGTTGTCTGCCAAAATCCATATTCCTTTACTTCCAGAATAAAACAACAGCAACTGGCAAAGGAGGAGACCATGTGACTAAGTTCTCTCGGTGAACGATCAGCCCAGATGGAGTGCTTCTCCTGAATCTGAGCTCTCAAGACAGCAGCTGGGCCTCCACACTCTCCTTCCCCTCCACTTCTGGCTGCATATAACCAGAGGCCTCACCAGAGGGGCTCTGAATGACCACATAAAGGAAATCCGTCCAATAACCCAAATATCCACACTGGACTGTTAGGTGCACGAGAAATAAAATTCCATTGTGTTTGAATCTTGGATGACAGTTTAGCCTATCCTAACACCCTGCCTGAAATTTCACTTTTGAAAATATACTCCTTTGAATTAAGGCTTTTTTTCTTTGTTCATCCCCAATAAAAGACATACCTATCTGGGATATATAAAATATCATGCTTTCTTAGTAATTTGTTCTTAAATGCTTCAATCAGAGATTTACTGAGAACTGATTACAGCATGAGTCAGGAAGGAGAGGACATTTGAAAAGCGAGGAATACATAAACAGAGAAGAGACCAGGACCCTGAAAGACTGGGCGAGAGTGACCTTTGTGTGTTTCACAACTTTGCATGAATGTTGACAGACTTAATAAGGCCAAATTCCATCTTCCTCATGTTTACCTGGATGGATGGGTTGGCTTCTCTCTCCTCCTAACTGAGGAAACAGCTCCCATGGGTGATTGCTGTTCTCTGGGGCATGTTTCAGGGAACTCCACTGTATGGTCTGGGCACCCACCATGTGCTGGCGAATGTACATGATGTCCTTTCTCCTCCAGGGGTTAACAGACCTCCGATGCTTACAGCTGGGCTTCCCACAGAGTGAGGTGGAGCTCACATCTAGTAATCAAGCTCTGGGTCACTATGGCCATTGGATCCTACTGGACAAAGTGATGGTGGTGGATACTTTTCAGATTTGTACCTGCTTTCAAATAAGTTTTGATCTTTTGGACTAATTTGGGATTTACTGCTCACTCTAATTTAAACTATTTCATTTTAGGTTAGTGGAACTATTTCAGTTTAGTAGAACAGCATTTATTGAGCACTCACTATGCGCTGGGCATTAGGAATTTTCTGAGGCATAGATAGAATTATTTTTCCTTTGAAATGAACTTTACCTCCACATACACATCTGGAGTTGCCCATATTCTGGGAGATGGGCAGACCTCATCTGAGCTGAGCTGAGCTGACCTCCTTTACTGCAGGAGCTGGGGCTGGAGGAGAACATGAGCTATGTCAGAGAGGTAGAATAGAGATGCCTTCTTCCTCATCTTCTCTCCTATCCTTCTTCCCCAACAACGAGAGACCACTGAACTCTACTCAGCTCTTAGATTTTCATTCGCATTGGCTCCTAATACAAAACCCTGGATCAACAACAAATCTTTGTTCTCTGCATAAAATCTTGGACCATTATTGAGGAATCTGGGCCAGAAACAAATAAGACCTCTATTCATCAGTTTCCATTTGTTGCAGGACTCAGGTTGTTTCTGGGATAGCTCAGTTACAAGATCTTCCTTCGATAGGGAAGGGGATGATGGCATATGATCTGTTTATTCATTCCTAAGCCAAACAGGAAGACTAACAAACATTGTTGTGCTGTCCTCCTGAAACTGAATTCTTATTTTAAAAATCTTCACCATGCACTCTGTTCATTTTGATGGTCATTAATTCCACTCATTTAATCTAAAAGAAGGAAATAAATCCTTAGTAAAGCACTATTGAAATAACCACCATGGGCACTGAGAGAGGCGATACACCAAATGCCTCATTTTGTCTAGAGACCTTCATTTTTAGCAACAGGAAGAAAGATTTCAAATGTGTTTGGTAGTAAGAATGGTATTTATATTTTTATTCCTCAAACTGCCAAAGAGAGGAGCTCTTGGCATGGGTGGGAAAGTCACTACAAAGAAGTGGGGAAGGAGTAGGGATCCCAATTTTTGTTTCAAATCAATGCCTAATCCAATTTTTATTTACTAAAATGAAGCTGATACTTACTCCTAAATCTTTTTTCCCATTTGGTTCAGAACTCATAGAACAGGTTATGTGATCCATTATCACTCTCAAACCCCATGGTAACCAGAATAGATAATTAAGAAAGACTATTCACATTGGTAATCTGTCACAGGAATAGACAAAAATATAAAAAAGAAAGAATGTTAACATCCTTATACATATACTCAGGTTCAGATTTGGTTTATAAAAATTGTTTTCAAAATGTTTTTTGAAAGTGAAAGTTCCAACATACATTTTAATATATTTGTTCAGTTTTTGTTGTTGATCAAATTCAGGGTCACCAGTGGGTGAATTTCATAAGCAGTGACAAGGTGGAAGACTGTGGTACATCAAATCAAAATTGTGATAATATTGAGAACCCCTAGTCTTGTAATAGGAAAGAGATTTTGTTGATGTGTGATTCACATATTTTGTTGATATGTCTATGATTCAGGGGTTATTTTGTAGTTATCTGGAAGAAAAGAAAAACATTTATGCATTAATCAGATTTTTTTTTTTCAGATGGAATCTTGCTCTGTTGCCCAGGCTGGAGTGCAGTGGCATGATCTCGGCTCACTGAAACCTCCACCTCTCGGGTACAAGGGATCTCCTGCCTCAGCCTCCCAAGTAGCTGGGATTACAGGCGCCCACCACTACGCCCAGCTAAGTTTTGTATTTGTAGTAGAGACAGGGTTTCACCATGTTGGCGAGGCTGGTCTCAAACTCCTGACCTCAGATGATCAGCCCCCTTCTGCCTCCCAAAGAGTGGGGATTACAGGCGTGAGCCACCATGCCCGGCCAATCAGATTTTCTAAGTAAGTATTTAAGAACCAAAACAATTTCTAATGCAATATAATGCCCCAAATTGAACTTCAACCAAATGTAAATCAGTACATTTGTAAGGTCTCCTTTTAATATATGCTAATTTAAAATATATACATATTTCACTGATTTTAATGTACAAATTAGTAAGTATTTTTGCAAGATAAAGAACAAAACTATAAAGTTTCACAAACAGAAATGGATCTAATGGGTCATTTAGGGAGAAAGTTGTCTCTCTCTAAGAAGTTTTACTAGACTAAAGCACAAGATATTGTATTAGTCTGTTTTCATGCTGCTGATAAAGCCATATCTGAGACTGGGAAGAAAAAGAGGTTTAATTGGACTTATAGTTCTACATGGCTGAGGAGGCCTAGGAATCATGGCAGGAGGTGAAAGGCACTTCTAACATAGCAGTGCCAAGAGAAAATGAGAGAGATGCAAATGTAGAAACCCGTGATAAACCCATCAGATCTCGTGCGACTTAGTCACTACCATGAGAACAGTGGTAGATAAACTGCCCCCTTGATTCAAATTATCTCCCACTGGGTCCTTCCCATAACACATGGGAATTATGGGAGTACAATTCAAGATGAGATTTGGGTGGGGACACAGAGCCAAACCATATCATTCTGCCCCTGGCCCCTCCAAATCTCATATCCTCACATTTCAAAACCAATCCCCCAAAGTTCCCCAAGGTCTTAACTCATTTCAGCATTAACCCAAAAGTTCACAGTCCAAAGTCTCATCTTAGACAAGGCAAGTCCCTTCTACCTATGAATCTGTAAAATCAAAAGCAATCTAGTTACTTCCTAGATACAATGGGGGTACAGGTATTGGGTAAATACAGCCATCCCAAATGGGAGAAAATGGCCAAAACAAACGGGTTCCAGGACCCACGCAAATTCAAAATCCAGCGGGGCAGTCAAGTTCTAAAGCTCCAAAATGATCTCCTTTGACTCCATGTCTCACATCCAGGTCACACTGATGCAAGAGGTAGGTTTTCATAGTCTTGGGCAGTTCTGCCCCTGTGGCTTTGCAGGGTATAGCCCCACTCCTGGCTGCTTTCACAGGCTGGCCTTGAGTATCTGTGGCTTTTCCAGGTGCACGGTGCAAGCTGTCAGTAGATCTACCATTCTGGGGTCTGGAAGATGGTGGCCCTCTTCTCACAGCTCACTAGGCAGTGCACCAGTAGGGAGCCCGTGTGGGGACTCTGACCCCACATTTCCCTTCCACACTGCCCTAGCAGAGGTTCTCCATGAGGGCGCCTCCCCTGCAGTGAACTTTTGCCTGGATATCCAGGCGTTTCCATACATCTTCTGAAATCTAGGTGTAGGTTCCCAAACCTCAATTCTTGACTTCTGTGCACCCGCAGGCTCAACACCACATGGAAACTGCCAAGGTTTGGGGCTTGCACCCTCTGAAACCATTGGCCGAGCTGTACCTTGGCCCCTTTTAGCAATGCCTAGAGCAGCTGGGACGCAAAGCACCAAGTCCCTAGGCTGCATACAGCATGACGACCCTGGACCTGGTCCACAAAGGCATTTTTTCCTCCTAGGCTTCATGGTCTGTGATGGGAGAGGCTGCTCTGAAGATCTATGACATGCCCTGGAGACATTTTCTCCATCATCTTGGGGATTAACAATTGGCTCCTTGTTACTTATGCAAATTTCTGCAGCCAGCTTCAATTTCTCCTCAAAAAAATTGGTTTTTCTTTTCTAAGGCATCATCAGGCTGCAAATTTTCTGAACTTTCATGCTCTGTTTCTCCTTTAAAACAGAATGCTTTTAGCAGCACCCAAGTCACCTCTTGAATGCTTTGCTGCTTAGAAATTGCTTCTGCCACATACCCTAAATCATCTCTCTCAAGTTCAAAGTTCCACAAATCTCTAGGGCAGGGGCAAAATGCCACCAATATCTTTGCTAAAACATAACAAGAGTCACCTTTGCTCCAGTTCCCATCAAGTTCCTCATGTCCATCTGAGACCACCTCAGCCTGGACCTTATTGTTGATACCACTATCAGCATTTTTGTCAAAGCCGTTCAAGAAGTCTCTAGGAGGTCCCAAATTTTCCCACATTTTCCTATCTTCTTCTTAGCCCTCCAGCCTCCAAATGTTCCAACCTCTGCCTGATACCCAGTTCCAAAGTCACTTCCACATTTTTGGGTATCTTTTCAGCAATGTCCCGCTCTACTGGTACCAATTTACTGTATTAGTCTGTTTTCACGCTGCTGATAAAGACATACGCGAGACTGGGAAGAAAAAGAGGTTTAACTGGACTTACAGTTCCACATGGCTGGGGAGGCCTCAGAATCATGGCAGGAGGTGAAAGGCACTTCTTACATGGTGGCAGCAAGAGAAAATGAGAGAGATGTAAACGCAGAAACCCCTGATAAAACCATCAGATCTCGTGAGACTTATTCACTACCATGATAACAGTATGGGGGAAACTGCCCCCATGATTCAAATTATCTCCCACTGGGTCTCTCCCACGACACATGGGAATTATGGGAGTACAATCCAAGATGAGATTTGGGTGGGGACACAGCCAAACCATATCAGATGTATTATATAAATTTATTTTGCTTATATTTTCTTATATTTTGAAATATTTACTATTTTGTTACTTGTACAAGTAATATAATTTCAAGGGAGAAAACTTGGAAAATACAGAAATACACAAAGATAAAGTCTAAGAACTAATTGTTGTGCTCAAAGATGACTACTGTTCATCTAGCCTTTCTTTCGTGTTTGTGTGTGTGTGTGTGTAGGTGTATGCGTGTGTTTATATGTACATTGTAGGTGTATACATCAGTGTGTGTATGTATATGTGTGTGTTTGTGTGTATATGCAGGCATGTATATGTATATGTGTATTTGTGTGTATGTGTACGTGTATGTGTGGGATATGTGTGTGTATACATGTGTATAGGTAGGGACATATGTGTGTATAATGTGTAGGTGTGTGTATGCATAGGTGTGCGTGTATATGTACATGTATATGTGTATGTGTTTGTGCGTATGTGTATGTGTGTGTGTATGCATGGGGGTGTGTGTATGTGTAGGTGTGTGTGTATGTATAGGTGTAGATGTGTGCATGTATGTGTGTATATGTGTATGTGTAGATGTGTGTGTGTATATATATATGTAAATGTGTGTGTATGTGTATATATGTGTCGGTGTGTGTATACGTGTACATATGTGTAGGTGTATGTGTATATATGTGTAGGTGTGTGTATATGTGTACATATGTGTAGGTGTATGTGTATATATGTGTAGGTGTGTGTATGTATGTGTAGGATGTGTGTATGTGTATATATGTGTAGGTGTGTGTGTGTGTATGTGCGTTATGTGTATGTGGTGGTGGAGGTGTGTATCAGATGCTAAATGATACTTTTCCTGTTGACTGAGAGCCTGAAGTTTTTGTGGAGCCCTGAAGGTTAAGAATTCTAGGTGCTTAACCATTTCCCCTTGCAGGACAGGCTAAGAGTCTGTGAAACCAGTTTGACAACCCTAACTCATCAGTCACATTGGAAGAATCTAGTAAAAAGGGGAAGGTAAGGGTAGAGCTGGGCCTGGTGGTGTGGAGTACTTTGCAGAGATTGCTGATGTCCTGTGAATTTCTCCTTCATGCCCCCAGCTAAGCCTGCGGAGCTTTGAGGAGGCCGCATGCAAAGATAGGCGTGTGTCCGCTGGGATTTGGGAAATTGAGATAGCCTGACTCAGGCCAGAGGAGTCCCGAGTGGCCTGTGGTGGCAGAGCAAAGAAAAGAGGCAGGTCTACTTTGGTATGGCCTGAGCTTCCAGATACTTACAGGTTAAGAACGCAGAAGAGTCAGGTGGAAAAAGCAGCTCGGGGTGACTGGTCCTGAGCTGGCCTGCGAAGGACTGGATATGAAGACACGGCGAGGAGAGGCTGCCCCAACACAGAGTGTTGGTGAGCCAGCAGCCAGCCCAAGGGGTCCAGAGAGCCAGAGGGAGAAGGAGAAGAGGATGGGTGAGGGGTGCTGGTCAAATCTCTCTCTCTTCTATACACACACACAAACACACACACACTCACATGGCAGTGAAGGCGACACCATGCCTCCGAATCCCTCTCACTTCATTTTTTTTTTTTTTTTTTAGACGGAGTCTTGCTCTGTTGCCAGGCTGGAGTATAGTGGCACAGTCTCAGCCCACTGCAACTTCTGCCTCCTGGGTTCAAGCGATTCTCCTACCTCAGCCTCCCCGTTAGCTGGGACTACAGGCCGTGCCACCACGCCCAGCTAATTTTTGTATTTTTAGTAGAGACGGGGTTTCACCATGTTGCCCAGGATGGTCTCGATCTCCTGACCTCGTGATCCTGCCACCTCAGCCTCCCAAAGTGCTGGGATGACAGGCATGAACCACCGTGCCCGGCCCACTTCATTTTTTGAAAACGTTTCTCCTTTGCAAAATAACATTCACCTCACATATAGTAACACTCATTTAAAAATTTCAACTGTGTGTAAAGCCCAGGTATAAACACATTTCTGAATACCAGTTACAGCTTATATTAATAAACCCTGTCCTTGGTAAAAAGCATTCTGTTTTCCAATAATCTTATTTTCAAGAAGTTTCATCTTAATAACAGCACCAGGCTTTTAACTTTCTTTTCAGGGTTGGTCAGGGCCTTCTTCTTAGACCACACTGAAGCTTCTGTGCCTCCCATCTGAACCCCTTAAATCCATTCCACCCAGGGCTTTGCTGAGCACATTTCTGCTGTGGTTGTACATGGTCAAACACATAACATCCAAACTCCACAGCTTGGCATTCAAGAATTTCCGTAATTTAAGTTTTAAAAAAAATCTTTCAGATTTACCCAAAACTAGATCATTCGCCAAAACTAACTTCCTCCAGCAGCAAGACTTCCCTGAATGTGCCTTACGTGCTCCCTCCTCCCTGGTTTTGCTCACGCAGTTTCTCATTTCTCCAGGCTCTCCCCACTGTCCAGGAATGTTAGTTGAAAATCCTGGCATGAATGGAGAGAGAAATGGAATGTACTTCAGGGAAATACCGAATTCTACTGAAGGTTATTTCAGTTTAGGCTAGAAAAAGTTTAAGCATATTTTTTAGGCAAAGAGGAAGAAATTTATGTTTTAGAGAGATAAAAGGATTAAGAGGAGGTGGGATGAGATGCTATTAAAAACATAGGTCAAGGAGACATTTCTAAATGTAGAAAATTATGAGGGTTAAAGTATTTTGAGCATTGATGCCATATATCCTGGTGAATAGAAGGGCATCCATTTTAGTAAGACATTTTACAAAAAAAGCACCAAAGGTTGGAGGCAGATCCAAAGACTGGTTTGCAACCAGACAAAAGCCAGCAGAGCTGACTCTAGAGGGGTCAATGATTAACCCTCAGGCATAATATTAGCCTGAATCCCGAGCACCTGCGAAAAGAAGCAGTTTTAGCATCAGCAAGAATGTTTTCAATCCAGTGACTCCCTGGTGTATACAAGGTGTTTCTGCGTAAAAGTTATGTGACTCTAACTTTAATTATTTCTTCAAAAATTGATAAGTAGGCCGGGGATGGTAGTTCACAGATTGCTTGAGCCCAGGAGTTCAAGGCCAACTGAAACTCCATCTCTACAAAAAAAAAAAAAAAAAAAAAAGCCAAGAACGGTGGTGCATGCCTGTAGTTTCAGCTACTCAGGAGGCTGAGTGAGGTAGAAGGATCACTTAAGCCCAGGATGTCGAGGCTGCAGTGATTATGCCACTGCACTCCAGCCTGGGCAACAGAGCGAGACCCCGTCTCAAAAAGAAAAATCAATAAATAGCTACTTCTCTACTTTCACACGAGTTGTTAATGCCTCCAGTAGATATCAGGACTCAACCACACAGTATTGGTTTTGACAATCCTACGCCTCTGCAATTAAGATCTAATTCTGGCTCTCAAAATTACCTGTCTGTACCTAAAGATGGTTAATACAGTTTTCAGCATCCAACAGTACCTGGGAAAAATGACTTAAAAGATAACAAAAGAATTGTCATTGCAAACAGTTAAATGAACCCAGTCAGAGAATTATTTGAAGTTATCCAAAACCATTAAGGTCATTGGCAAGAAAAAGAAATAATCTATGTAAAACGCAGACTTGTTAAAAGTCCTCATAGCAAAGGTTTGGAAAGTCTGCATTCACACCTTCATGTACCCTTTCAGTAAATAATTATTATCTACTATATTCCAAGTACTATGCTATACCTTAGAGTACAAAGATGAAAACAGAGAAAGGATCTGACATAAAAGAGCTGAATTCTGGTTGGGAAAACAACAAAGTGAATATACTACAGTGAGATTGTCGCTGAAGTAGAGAGACGCAAGAAAGAGCACCTTAGACGACCTTGTAGAGACAAGAAAACCTGTGGGGAGACCATACTTGGGGTGTTTCTTGGAAGAGCTTCTCACGGGTTGGGGAAGAAACATTTCAGGGAGCAGGTGTGAGAACTGCAGTGGAGCAGGAGGCAGCTGCGGAGGGCACACTGCCTGAGGCTACACTCACCGCTGGTGGGGTTTGAGAGGTGGATGTTGGGGAAGGGGGCTGATGGAGATTAGCCCAGAGATCAACAGTGGTTGTAAATTATTATTTGCTTTTACGGTAAGTAAATATTACTTAAGTAACAAGGTATAGGATGTAATTATGTGATTCTGTACCCCAAAACGCTCACAAGAAAGTCATTTTCTGTAAGGGAAAAACTGTGAATCGCCAGCCAGATGCAATTATTACCATTTTCTTAGACATTTTATTGCCTTTCATCGCACTAATAGTTCCTAGTGTAATGGAGCTGTTACAAATGTGACCCTACCATTCTGGACCTATCTTTCTAACCGTGAGAGCTTGGACAAGTTACTCTACGTCTGTGTACATCACCAACCTCATCTGCAAAGTGGACACCAGAACCGCACTTACCTCAACAGGAGTGTTTTGTAAATGACAATGCCAGCAAAGTGCTTAGAGCAATATTTGGCTCATAAGAGGCTCTCAAGAACCGTTAGCGATGTTTGAAAGAAGGAATAATATCTAAACACATTTGAACTTAGTTTTTGTTTGTTTGATGGTTGAACTTTAATACAGTTTAACTTAATGGGCACTATGAGAATACAACTATGTGTTAAAATCGAGGCCTGTTAGAGCTGGCAAAGGTTTTAGAGTCAGCCAGTCCACAAGTCTCTCCACATTTTACAGGTGAAACTGTGATCTAGAAAAGTTCAGCAATGTTTCCAGTTACAAAGCTAAGGAGCTCGGAAAGTTCCAGTCTAGTGTGGAAGCCACTCCTAAGGCAAATGACTGATTGTCTGCTGCCCTCTAGTGGCTAGTTTGGGAAATTATCTTCTATACGGTAAGAAATGACACAGTACCACAAGAGCCGTTTATTTGCAGAAGGCTCACCAGGCAGGTTACAAAGTCTGCATGTGTTGTCTCTATAATGCAGTGTAAGTCAAAACTACTGGATGTTTTTATTATTTATATTTACAAGTAACTGCATTTTTTTCATACAAATCATGTAAGGTATTGCTCTTTTTGAGTATTTACAGCTTTCCTATGTTTAACTCACCTCTCCAATTATTTAAAACCAAAGTGTTGTTTATATATTAACAACATTTCACTGCCAGTATCTATTTCTGTTGTATTTGATTATTTATAACTAGATCATCTACCCTTCCTTTAAATAGCATATGATTAAAGAGAAGATAAAGAAGAAAGACAAACAAAGAAGAAATGAAGGAAGGAGGGAAAGAGGAAGAAAGGAAAGGGGGGAAGGAAGGAAGGAGGGAAGAAAGGAAGGAAGGAAGGAAAGAAGGAAGGAAGGAAAGAAGGAAGGAAGGAAGGAAGGAGGAGAGGGAGGGAGGGAGGGAGGAAGGAAGGGGCAAGAAAGAAACTACATAGTACTTGATGAGTCTCCCTTTTTATAGAGACCTGGAGAACAACTATGAATAAATCCACATGTTTACACATAAATTACATTTTACACAAATGTGAGTACGTGCTCTGCCGCCTCCTCTGGACCTTACTTACTCATATAAGATATATCTTTTTTTTTTTTTTTTTTTTTTTTTTAGACTCTCTGTTGCCCAGGCTGGAGTGCAGTGGTACGATCTCAGTTCACTGCAAGCCTCAGCCTCCCAAGTAGCTGGGATTACAGGCATGCACCATCACGCCCAGCTAATTTTTATATTTTTAGTAGAGACAGGGTTCCACCATGTTGGCAAGGCTGGTCTTGAACTCCTAAGCTCAAGTGATCTGCCCTCCTCGGCCTCCCAAAGTGCTGCAATTACAGGCGTGAGTCACCACGCTCGGGCCAAGACATATCTTGAAGATAACAGCTATACATGTTCCATTATGCATCCTGTTATAGATATAAAATTTGAATATTTTTACTATGATTTTTTAAAAGGTACAATATCTTCCTTTTGCATGGAGATGATCAATAAATTCCTTATAGTAGAATTGTTGAATCAAAGGAGTTTCTAAATGTTTAATTCTGAAAGGTGTTGTCTTCGTGCATTATTTTTCATTCCCACTGGCCTATGAGTGCCCCGTTTTCCCACTCTTGGGCGACCACTTGGTCTTATAAAAGTTGTAATTATTTCGAAATTGATGGGTTAAAAAGTTGCATCTTAATGTTTTGATTTATGATTTCTTTCATTATCGATGAGACCAGGATATTTTCCCAGGTAAACAAGTCATTTGAATGTTTTTGTGTGCCTATGTGAACAGCTTGTTCATATTTTTTGCTTTTTTTTCTGTTAAATTGTTGGCATATGAGACTTTTTTGGACAGTAAATTTATGCTTTTCCATTTATCTTTTAATTTAGCTTATAATATTCTTTCTGCATGGAAAGTTAAAATATTTATATGGTCAAATGTATTATTTTTTTCCACCATGATTTTTTTCTTGCCTACAAAGATCTTCCTAACCAAAGGTAATAAACCGTTTGCCTAAGCTTTCTTTTATTACTTTTACGGGTTCTTTAAAAAAAATTTACATGTAAATAATTGAGCTATCTATAAGGGATTTTGGTGAAGGTAACGCATAGGCATTCAGCTTTGTTTCCTGCCCCGAATTAGCAGCCATTTGACCTAACACTATAGTGTCTAGGCTTCATTTGAAATGCTGTATTTATTATGTGCCAAATTTCCATTGATTCCCCATCCTATTTCATTGCTCTCGCTGTCTCTTGCTACTCTAGTACTAAACTGTTTTACAAACAGTGGCTTAAAATATATTTTAATATCCGGTAGGTCTACTGAGTCAGGTGACAACATTCCTTTTTTTCTTACCCATAGAATCTTCTTGATTAATTCACATTCTTGTTTTTTCTTCCTATCAACTCAAATTAAAATCCTATAAGCAATTTTATGGTGATCTTATTAAATTAAGAAATAAATTAAGAAGGAATTGATGTATTTAAATTGTTATATGCCTATATATATATAAGTTAGTGCAAGTCCCTCCATTTATGGAAGTAAAAACTTGAAACATTTTAAAATAGGCTCTTTCTAAATGTATAACTAGGCATTTATTCTCTATTGTAAATGATATATAAAATTCCCTTCATTTTTATTTTTAATTTGGAGGGGTCTGTGTGTGTGTGTGTGTGTGCGTGTGTGTGTGTGTGTGTGTGTGTGTGTTAAGGAAAGTTAGACATATTCTATGATGAGTTGAAAAGAGTGACCAAATGGTTGACAGTAATTTTTCTTTCAGTTGGTTCCTTTTGGCTTTCCTGATTCACAAACATCGTTTGCATATTGACAATGTTTACCTATTCTTTTTTTTATTTTTATACTGTATTTCTTGTTTTTTGTCCATTGTATTGAATTGAGTAATACTTCCTTTTTAATATTATGCCTTTAATACTTTGCCTTTAATGTTATGCCACTAAGGACATAGGGGACTTTATTGTCTTATTCTCAGTTTTAAAGCAGAAATGCTCCCAGTGTTCATCTTCAAACAAGATGAATTTTGGTGTGAGGAGCATGTGTCCCCTTCTTAGTTCCCGTAATTAAATTAAAAAAAAAGTTACAAGATAAAAAGGCATGAAGTAAAAGGTATTCCTGATGAAGCACAAATTCTAGTTAAAATCAAAATCAATTGTGAACTACATCTTAAAAGTAAATTCTTTCTAACTGTATTATGTGACAATAGAATCTTCAATTTGCTTTCTCTTTGTGTTTCTTAATAAATGTATGAGGATTTTGACCTTTTTACAAGAAAGAATTCATAAATACTCCCTAACTGATATCACCTTGTAAGCAGATGAGCTAACAATTTAGATACCAATTTTAAAAGGAATGATAGGCCAGGTGTGTGTCTAACACCTGTAATCTCAGCACTTTGGGAGGCTGAGGCAGGTGGATCACTTGAGTCCAGGAGTTTGAGACCAGCCTGGGTGACACGGTAAAACCCCATCTTTATTAAAAAAAAAACCACAATAAAAATGAATGGTTTAATTGGTGATGCTGAGGGCCAGCACAAGGCAGGCAAGAGGAGAGATGTGGTTGTGTTGGGTGAGAAATCAGAGATAAGGTTTTTTCTGTTGTTGCAAATTATTGCAAAAGCTACGCTAAAATGATTGTAACTTAAGTGCTCTTAACAAAGGATTATTTGATCATTTGTAAAGGAAATGCAATTCATACATACACATACACATACATAATTTGATTGCCTTCAGGAAGAATACATCCCTTCCTACTTTCTTAAAAGGACATGAAATGGATGCTAAATTTCACCAAATGCCTCTTGGCCAACTATGGAAACATTGGTATGTGGTTGTTTCTCCTTTAATCTTCCAATATGAGGAATTTCATTAACAGCTATTACTAATGAACTATTTTTGCTTGGAACGAAACCATTTGTTTATAGTTTGTTTTTAAAATGCATTGTCAATTATATTATATTTTATTTGTAATTTTTGTAAAGAGATTCCTTAGTGAAATTGGTCTAAGAATTTTTGTTGTGTTATTTTGAGGTTCTTTTGATGTAATTTGCCCAGTTTGGGTACCAATGATATACTTGCTGTCTTAAAACAAGATAAACTAGGAATTTTTCTCCTGGGAGTCTCTGGTGGTTTCAGTATTAAAATTATCTGTGTATTGAGAGTTTAAGAGAATCCATCTGTGACAGCACCTAGATCTCATTCTTTCTTGTGGGGTTAAATATTTGCTGACTCAAATTATTTTATGGTTATTGGGGTTTACCTTTATTATCTCTTCTGTGGTAGATTTTATTAATTATCTTTTAAAAATCATCTCTCTTATTGGAGTTTTTATATTTACTTACAAAAAATAAGGTAACATTTTCTTACTATTATCTATTATTTCCTCTCTAATTATCTCCCCCCCCTTTTTTTGTTTTTGTTTGTTTGTTTGTTCTGAGACAGTCTTGCTCTGTCACCCAGGCTGGATGGAGTGCAGTGGTATGATCATAGCTAACTGCAGCCTCAATTTCCTGGGCTCAAGCAATCCTCCTGCCCCAGCCTTCCAGGTAGCTGGGAACACAGGTACGCATCCCCATATTTCATTAATTTTTAAATTTTTTTGTAGAGACGGAATTTCACCACATTGCCCAGGCTGGTCTAGAACTTCTGGGCTCAAGCAGTCCTCCCACTTTGGCCTCCCAGAGTGCTGGGATTACAGGCATGAGCCACAGCACTCAGCCTCCATTCTCTTTTTTATCATTGCATATTTCTACTTTCTCTTTTACCTCTTGATGATGTTACTAGCCATTATCAATATTATTATTTCAAAAGGTAACTCTTAGATATATTTTGCATTTTCACATTTTTATTTCCTACATTAAAACCTTCATAAATTGAAGGTTTCTATTTATCTCAATATATATAATATGTGGCATGTTCTCTTAAGTTTGCCATAGGCCAGCCCCTCTCCTGATTTTCTATGTTCAGACAATTCACATATTATTTTCCTGTCTGGCTACTCTCAGCACAGGAATTAGAACCCTAGTTTGAAGCTTTTAGTTTTCTTCTGACCTCTGTTTAGCCATATCTCATAGTTTCTAATATGTTTACTGTTCAGCATTTTTTGAAGCCACACTGCAGGAAGATTGAGTAATGAAAAACTAGGAAAGCATATGTAGAAAAAAAGGCAAAGGAAAAGAGAGAGAGAAAGAGAGCATTAGTTAGGTGTAAAGACAGGATTCAGGGATAAATCTATTTTTCTCATAAGCTGTGCTCACAGGCTGGGAGAGAAAGCCATCATCAGTGAGCACACCATGACAGAGCAAGGCCGCAGGAGATGGGGAGGGGACAGCAAGAATGTCTTTGTCCGTTTGGGATGCTGTAACAAAATACCATAAACTGGACAGCTTGTAAACATAGACATTTATTTCTCACAGTTATGGAGACTGTGAAATCCAAGGTCAAGATGCCAGCAGATTTGGTGTCTGGTGAGGGCCCATTTTCCAGTTCATGGATGGCACCTTCACTGTGTCCTCGCATGGCAGAAGTAACTAGCTAGCTCTCTGGGGTCTCTCTTATAAGGATGCTAATCCGAATCATGAAGGTGAAGCCCTGCCAAAGGCCCCACCTCTTAATACTATCATGTTGAGGGTGGAGGATTTCAACATATGAATCACCTCCCAAAGGCCTCACTTCCTAATACCATCACATTGCAAGGGTGATTTTAACATACGAATTTTGAACATAATATTTAGACCATAGCAAGGACACAGGCCATAAATCCAGGAGACAAGAGAGCATTCTTTGTGAGAACAATGAGTAGTAGGGTTCACGTAAATACAGACAATTTTGGAGGTAGTAATAGAAAAGGCATTTGTGATGGCTAATTTACGTGTTAACTTGACTGGGTCATGGGGTGCCCAGATATTTGGTTAAACCCTATTCTGGGTATGTCTGTGAGTGTGTTTGTAGAATGAGATTAACATTTGAATGGGTGAACTGAGTAAAGCAGACTGCCCTCCCTAATACAGGTGGGCCTCACCCAATCAATCAAAGACCTACATAGAACAACAACAAAAAGAAAATAAAAGAAACTAAGACAAAACTTCTGCTTGACTGCCCTTCAGCTATTAGTTTTCTTGCCTTCAGACTCAAACGGAAACACTGGCTCTTCTTGGATCTCAAGCCTGCCTTCAGACTGAATCTATATCAGCTCTGCTCACTCTGCTGAGTGCAGATCTTGCGACTTCTCAACCTCCATCATCATGTGGAACAATTCCTTACAATAAATCTCTTTATATATGTGTGCACACACACACACACACACACACACAGGCATGCATGCACACAGGCACATACACACTATTGGTTCTGTTTTTCCAGAGAACCCTAATATAGCATTGTAGTAATTCATGCCCATTGACATCTACTTTCTTATAAAACAGCGTCAAGTTCATCTGCCAAATGTGAAGCAGATAAGGAAGAGAAAATGGGCTTGAGAAGCAAGAAAGAGATTTTTCAGAATAGTAATGACAAAGTTACTGAATAAGGTCTGTTTCCCTTTATAAATATATTTTTCCAGAAGAAGAAGAATTTTTTCCGGAAGAAAAGTAATTTTTAATTAATTGTTAAATGATCAGTTCAATATGTCTCTGCTGCAAGATTATAAATCCAAAGGGAAGGGTCTGTGTTTTTCAAAGATGGAGTGTTGTTTATTGTTGGTGCCATTTGCTTGAGTTCTTATCCCAGCTTTGTCGTTTTCTCTCTGCATGATTTGGGGCATGTTATTCAATTTCTTTTCCCCTCAGTTTCCTCACCTGGATCTGTTTCCTAGGATTGTGATGGAGATGAAAGAAGAGCATTGAATAGTAACTGGCAATAGTGAAAACTCAGCAAAAGTGACCCATTGGGCCATGATCTTGGCCCAGTCTACCCTGAGCACTATAGCACAATGTTTAAAATATAGTAGGTCTTGAATTGCATGCATTTGTGGATGGATGAAGACTGTTATTCTCTGGCTTAGCCACTGTGATTGATTGTTAGCAGCTGAGCATTATTTTGGACCTATTCTACATTCTTCCCTGCATGTTGGGGGAAGAGCCTCAGGTATACATTTTTTGGAATCCCTTTCCAGTGGGGTTATGTATTTGATTTTGCCGATGAAAGTTGTTTGCCCAAGATTTGAAAAGGAAAGAGAAGAAAAATGATTATACCTTTGGGAGCAGCTGGGGAGAGGTGCATGGACTCTGGCAGAAGACACATGGAGTGTTTTTGCAGCCATATATGGGCTATCTCCTAAGAAACATATACTTTGCTGCTACATGAATCTGAGCCCTTCAGTGGCAGCTTGGATTTCTGATTTCTGCACTGGTGGATTTCTTCGTAGCAGTAGTAGCTCCTCAGTGTGAAAGGAAAATAAAAGCTTGGGACCCCCAATGCACTATGCCACAAGGAAAAAATTAAGCTGAAAGCTGAGTCAAGCAAGACACTGACTTTCCTTTTGTTTCTAAGCAGATAGCTACAATAAAAGGTTAAAAATCCCCACGGGTAGCTACTCTATGTAAAGCGCCAATTTACTGAGTGCCAAACGAATACATAATTGAGTATTCCCCTACCTGCTCCTTTTCCCTTGCAGCATGTGAATTTAGTAGTGTGATCATACCCTTCCTTTTCCTCCTCCAGCCTGCTTTTCCCCGTTCAATACTGAAGCCCTCAAAATTATTTTCGAAGAAGGCACAGACCTATCTCCCAGGCATGTCCTCAATTTTGGCAAAATAAATTTCTAAACTGATTGCGACCTGTCTCAGATCGTTTTTGGTTTACACCTGCCTTCATTTGTTGTGGCACTCCTGACACTGGTGTGAGTTTCTAATCCCCTGCATTAGATCCCTTCCTTCTTAAAATACCTAGAGGGCTTTGTTTTTTGGATTAAGCCCAATTGTTAGGGGATGAATTGTGTCCTCTCCTCCTCCAAATTCATGTCAAAGCCCCTAACACCCACTACTTCAGAATGTGACTGCATCTGGAGATAGGGGTCTTCAAAAAGGTGATTAAGTTAAATGAGGCCATTAAGGTTGGCTGTAATTCAATATGATTGGCATCCTTACAAAATGCAGAAAATTGGACATACACAGAGACATAAGGGATGTGGGCACACAGACAGGAAAGTCCATGTGAGGACAGCGAGAAGGTGGTGGTCTGCAAGCCAAAGAGAGTGACCTCAGGAAAAAAAAATCTTGCCCATATTTCAGTCTTAGACTTTTAGCTTCCAGGACTGTGAGAAAATGACTTTCTGTTGATTAAATCATCTGGTTCATGCTATTTTGTTATGGCAGCCCTAGGAAACTACTACATTAATCTGAACACAAATTGGATTGTTAGAACAATAGACTCTAAATTATCTCCCTGACTCTTTGAGGAGAAAGGGTATGCTATGGTCGTTCTCTAAGGCTCCAAGGTATCACCTATCTGTGAGTCACTTGAAAAATTCACACAAGGCACCTTTCATCCAGAAGTTGCTGCTGTACCAGTGCCATGTGAGTTCTGTAGCACAGCCTAGACGAGGTCTGAGTTCTGATCAACAGCCAGGAAAAACTGGCACAATGCGTATGTGTATTTTTTGTGGATATCATGATTCAGTTTTTTCTGCACATCATAAAGGCAGCTGAGGTGTCCATAGCCACCTCCAGTCAAGCCCAGACCCTGCCCACAATGCTCTGTAGCAGCTGTGGAGGACCTGCTGCTAATGGGGGCATAGCCATTCAGTAGGGGAGTTTGAGTGACTCTCTCCAATTCTGTAGTCAGTTTTGACAGGTAAGAAAAAAAGAACACCTCAAAATAGAGAGTGTGGGGGAAGAAAAAGGAATGGAAACCAGAACCGAGTTATAAGGGCCTGTGATGGTTGATAATGAGTGTCAACTTTATTGGATTGAAGGATGCAAAGTATTGATCTTGGGTGTGTCTGTGAGAGTGTTGACAAAGGAGATTAACATTAGAGTCTGTGGGCTGGGAAAGGCAGGGACACCCTCAATCTGGATGGGCACCATCTAATCCAGCTGCCAGCATGGCCAGAATATAAAGCAGACAGAAAAATGTGAAAAGACTAGACTGGCTTAGCCTCCCAGACTACATCTTTCTCCCACACTGGATGCTTCCTGCCCTCAAACATTGGACTCTAAGTTCTTCAGCTTTGGGACTCGGACTGGCTTCCTTCCTCCTCAGCTTGCAGACAGCCTATAGTGGGACCTTGAGATCATGTGATTTAATACTCCTTAATAAACTCCCCGTATACATATCTATCCTATTAGTTCTGTCCTTCTAGAGAACCCTGACTAATACAGGGCCCACTGAAGAAACAGAAAGAGATCCTGAAGAGTCCTTCCTCCAAATGGGAAGTGAATCGAAGGGCTTAACTGACAACATCCCTGTGATTCTCATTATAATAGGAAAAGATTTAACTGTATTTTCTAACCTACAGGGGTAAGCTAATGCCTTTAACACCTACCCCGAGGCTGACTCCTACACAAAGAGGCAGAGGGTCACAAACAGGGATCCACAATGAACGGACATCAAGGATACTTGCACAACAGGGGCTCTTCTACACTAAGGAGTGACAGACAGGCCAGGGCTGGCTGACCTTCCCTGCCTGGAGCAGTGAGATGCATCCAAGGCTAGTAGCAGTGTCTCCTATTTTACTGATGAGGAAATTGTCATCCAGTCGATAAACCTTTACAAAGTCATGGAAGGGGGCTAGACAGAGCTGGACTGATTCCAATCCAGGTCTTACTGTAAGATAACACACTTACCAATTTGTCACATTGCCTCATGGAAACATTCCATGAACTGAACAACTGAATGTCTCCAGTGACTGAAGACATCTCTTGAAATATTACATGTGCCACTGCCAAATGTCTCTGTTTACCATAGATAATAGCTCCATCCAAAGTCTATCCATATGCACTATTTACTTCATACTGTGGAACTAATTTAAAGCCAGGGAGTACTTTTGTTTTTCCCAGAAGGCCTGAGTATAACCCAATAGGAGTATTTTAATTTGTGTTCAGGACATCGCCCCCTCCATCCCCACCGCACAGATATCTAAAAGATTTTCTTACTTTGGTGATTCAGTCTATGATTGTAATTCTAGCTTCAATTAGATTAGAAAGAGAAATGATACCTTAAATGAAGGAAGGAGCATATAGTTTTTAAGCAGAGGTGGCAACCAAAGACATAGACTTTGAAATATTTTCTTTTAGAGCATGATGAAAGCAAGCAGTTCATTTTTATTCTGTTATTCAGGAGAACCTCGTAGTGATTTTGGTTCTCACTAGACCTACGTTTAACTTCTCTTTATCTGATTTATTCATTTGCCTGACTACTTGCCCACACCCAGACTCTCCATGCTTACAGAAATCAAGTGACTCCACGAGCAAACTAATTTCAAATTCAATTCAAGCCTGTTTCCGAGTGCTTATATGTCACTTTCACCTCTTCATGACTAATACAAATGATTTATGAGTGGTGCATAATCTTCTCTCAGTCTGGAAGTTTCCCCCACCCTACCTTTAAATATACTTCTGTAAAACGGCATATGACTCACTGAAGTTCTTTTACAAAAATGGGTTTTGCACAGCAAATAATTAAACATGAGAAGACATTGAATCTTCTCTGATGCTTTGATTTCCTTAATCAAACCCAAAGTAACACAAGCCCAGAGTTCCTGTAAGTAGAAAGTACAGCACATTAAACAAATGAGAAGGAGAGAGATGATCACACAGACACTCCTACTTTGGAATTATTTTTAACTGTTTTCTTTGAAAAATGTCAAGCATAATTGGTATTTTAAGTTCAGAAGACCTGTAAATCAACCAAGGATAGAAATCAGATCCAGTGAGCTTCCTGTCTCATACCAGATAAGATTTAAATAAAACCTACTCAATTTCTAAATCATGTCTTTTTTGTTTTGTTTTTACTGTAAAAAATATTAAAGCAACAGTAAAGGGATTTTTCAAAAAATGAAACAAAACTCTCCACACACAACTGATTTTGATTTTCCATAGTCCTACCCTGTCTTTATTTATATTAATATATCCATTTAATTTTAAATTCTCAGGCTCTAAGACAGAAAGAAAACTCCAGAGCCAACTGCTGTTCCCAAAGACAGAAAGTATTTAGTGACAGCCATGGCCTCATGGGAGAGAACCAAACCAGTCTTGCTGTGCTGCCAATCCCACTTACCCTTTCTCATCCCCTGCAAGTCCCCAAATTCCTATTTTCTTTCATTTAGTAGTGATCCAAAACAAAAATCCTCATTTTCTTCTTTTGCATAACAAGAACAATAAGAATTTCTTGAGGGCAGAGGCAAAATCTATTTATCCCAGTGCTTAATCCAGTGCCAGGCATATAGCATATTCAGCGACTAAATAAAAACCATAAGAAAAAAAGCAATTTGTGTCTTTCTGTTGGTTTCAAGTCTAGCTCAACTTTTTAAAACCTCTTATTCTCCTGAAATCACAGATTCATGATAAAGAAGAACAAATCACCGTTGCCACATTTAACACTTGTACATTTTATTTAATTAAATCAGCCATTGTACACATTGCAGCTATGTATTGTTAGTGTTGTATTTTTTTTTCCATTAACTAATACATGCCCTCATAGATATATTCAATTAGTGTTATCACCATGGGAACAAGATGCTGATTCGTCAACTGAAAATTCACTTCTTCTCACAGTATTCAAGTTTTTGATAACACAGCAAAAATCAAAATCAAAAAAAGGTGAATAACCATTATGTTGTTACACAGACATCATCTGCACTGCAAATAACACAACAGAAATGCTTTTCTTGAGCTCCAGTGAAGGTTTTGACAAGAAGGCCATAGGGTGTCTCAAAAAGTTTCACCATCGGCCTCTCTTATTTTGGCTGCCAAAGAATGTCTCATTTCCTATCCAACTGCCAAAAAGTGCTAGCATTTGAGGCTTAGGAGATTTGGCTTGTGGGAAACCTCCCTCCCAGGAAATTTTTTCTCTTGGCAACATTACTTTAAATGATGAAGTGCCATTGTTTGTCGCATTTGTTTTTGACATTCGGAGCAATGAGTCATTTTTGCACAACAGGAAAAGACCAGATAATTGGAAAATGTTCAATCCCTGGAGGATAGACTCTGTCCTTTTTTATTTAAATTTCATCTTCATTGAATATACTTTTCTTTAACAAATGACTGATTCAAAATGTATACTGTTTATATGAATATATTTGTGAATATATATATGTTAAAATGCTACACAGCTTCAACCACTAGAGGAATAAGGAAGAGGACATGGAAATTACTCAGATTGTTACAGTCCCTTCTTTGAGACAAACAAACAGAAGTGCACAAATGCACTTAAGAGTTTCCAAGGGAGTGTGGATTTCAAATAAATAAACCAAAAATTTTAACCAAAACCAAATTTTCAAGGATTTCTCAATCTTGTCTGCAAGCTGAAAAACAGACCTAGCTGGAAAGTGAAAAGTGCTCACTCAGGGTAAAAAGAATGGAAACAATTAATGTGATTAGAAGAGGGGTTTGACCGTGGTCTTGATTTTTAAACGCCACATGCAGGTATTAGAGAAGATATAAACCTGAAGAAAAAAAAGAAAGAAAGAAAAAAAAAAAGAAACCACTCCAACATACTGAAGGAGTTTAACCTTTTATGTAGTGGGTAAATCTTGTTTCCAATGAATTATCTACAGTGCAGTGGCCAGAAGAAAGTACCACTGTAAGACAGCGTGGTTTGCTAAAGCAGCAATGAAAACTGGAAAACTACAGTAGTTATAGCTTTTAAAATACCCTGCCAACTTGTCCAAGATCTAAAGACCTGAAGATGCTAGAATGCCACACAATGTAGCTGCCAGCAACTGAATACCCCATCGGTTCATTCTGCGTGGCCTCTGCTCCCTTCTCCCCTCCCTCAGAGTGGCTGTTGGAGTCCTAAGCCATGGCTGGCCAGCACCAGCAATAACTTCTCAGGACAGTTCTGCAAGGCTACTGACCCACCTTTAACTGGGAGCAGTGGCTACTCTGGAAGTTCTAAGGACATAATAGGTTTGAAGTGCTTCTTTTGCAGTAAAACTGTATTATCACTCGATTGTGTTAGCAATATCTTAATTAACCATTGTTCAGCAATTTCTAGAGGCCTTTTATTCTGATGCCCAGTGTAGTTACAATAGGCAGTGGTTTTAATTTTAATATGTTGTTCATCTGAGCATTTCAGCTATATACATTGTACATAGATATTCCTTGGAAGGATTCCTACATAGTGTCACTTGAAGAGGTCTGCAGGTGAAGTTCTTCTGATCAATGGATTTTCATGGATCTTGTGCAGAAGCAAAGAACAATGGAGGTGGCCAGTTCCCAGGTTAGCACAGACACAACAAAGTATTGGATACAGCATCCAGTATGAAGGATGCCATCTTTGGTCACAAATTAGCTTTATAGTTAAAGAGGATGGGGGAAAACTAAAGCAAAATGCCGTATATTTGCTAACAGTGGAAATGTCGGGGTATCCCATTAATTAGGCCAGTTAGGTCACTCCCCTACTGAAACAGGAAGCTGCATATTGAGTGAATGTGTGGTTTCTGGTGTGAGAACTGGGCAGCCCCTCACTTGGCCTCTTGCTTCAAGTCCTCCTTGCAGAAATGCCGAAGGAGCTGCTGGAGATCGCGCTGGAGGTCGTCCTGGTCTAGTGCTTCTGGTACATCCTCCAGGTGCTCCAAGTCAATGCGTTTTCCATGCTGGTCCTTCACCACAGCCCTCTTCTGTGTGATGGCTTTACTCATTGTTGTCCTGGAGAAAAGCAGACAAGAGAGAATTACGCTCTTTTCACTGCCAGAGGGCAGCTGTTAGGAATGAAGGTGACCATTACACTGAGTACCTAATGTCTTACCTTTAGATGTTTCCACAGCAAACTATTAGCATAACAAACTATAGACATCTTTTTGTGTCTTTCTTTTAAACATGGCTCCCCTCTCTCAAACGATTCATGAGATTTTTTTAAAATGTGTTTTGGAACAAGGAGTATTTTTTAAATCTTTAAGAAAAATTTAAAATAAATGAAACCATGCTTTAATTTGATCTTCTCAAAAACTAACCATAAAATCATTCATGGTTTGATTAAGTAGCCCTTACTTAATAGAGTTTGGTTAATTCTGAAATAGTACCACAAGTACCTTTTGACAGGCTAAAAAAACCTTTTTTTAATTTATTTGAAACACCTTGGCTGCCAGCTTAAACCTTACAGTCATACCCTGACCCAAACTTCCCAAAATTATGTTTTCAGAGAAGTTTTTTATGAGGCATATGTCTTTAAAAACTAAAATATTAGTCTATCAATATATAAGAAGGTGGCTCCCAACAAAAGATGAAGATCTGCCCAGGTCTCTAAGGCTTCATATGGAGATGGTGGGGGAGGAAGGGGAAAAGAGAAAAGCCATTGAGAGACAACTGCTTCCTCCGGATTCTCCAAGCCTCACATATGTTGCTCATTTTGTGTATTTCTTGCCATTTAACAGTCTGTTGTTTACTTGCCTCCCTTATAAGACTGGTGGTTACTTGAGAAAAGGAACTATAACACCTTTTCTTGAGACGGAGTCTCGTTCTGTCACCCAGGCTGGAGTGCATTGGTGCGATCTTGGCTCACTGCAACCTCTGCCTCCCGGGTTCAAGCGATTCTCTGGCCTCAGCCTCCTGAGTAGCTGGGACTACAGGTGTGTGCCACCACACCCAGCTAATTTTTGGTATCTTTAGTAGAGACAGGGTTTTGTCATGTTGGCCAAGCTGGTCTCGAACTCCTGAGCTCAGATGATCTGTCCACCTTGGCCTCCCAAAGTGTTGGGATTACAGGTGTGAGCCACCACATTGGGCCAGGAGCTATAACTTTTGTATAGTCATATTAATTTTAAGTCATACTAATATTTTCCTGTAACTGTACTTAAAAGTAATTTGCTCATTCTCAATTCTTTTCACTATATATTCTTCTTTTTTTTTTTAGAGTAAAGTAAAAGCAAGTTTATTAGGAAAGCAAAGGAATAAAAAATGGCTACTCCATAGGCAGAGCAGCCTTTTTCACTATACACTTCCAAATGCGGGTCCTCATTCCACAAGTATTTGACGAATGTGTTGTATGGGCCAGACACTAGTATAACAAATAAAGAAATTGAATCTCCGAGAATTTAAGCAATAGTCCAAACAAAAAATAACAGAATTAGCACACAGTGGGACCAAGAGTCAAAGATTCCAGAGCCTGAGTCCATAACCATACACTATGCATCTACACTTAAAACCGCCATAGGAAATGATCAGTTTTTGTAGCTTTACCCAGCATTTTCCTTATGTTTTCATTGTTCAGAAGTTGGAAGTTCTGCCATCATCCAATACCTCTATGCATTTGTTACGATCATCCTGATTTTTAAAAATAACTTACTTCAGCTAAAATACTTTCAGCTTTTTTTTGGACATCCTTGTTTCCTTCTTCCTTCTTCCCTTATGTTCTTCTACTCCCCTTTTTCCTTTAATACTATATGAATTGTTCTGCATCTGGAAGCAAACTTAAATTTGTTCTTGCTGATGAAAAGGTCAAATTTGATTCCAATGATTGAAATCTGATGTTTTCCTAAATACGCGGCAGCCATTTTTTTTTTCTTCAAAAAGGCACTTTTCTGACTATTTCTGCTAAAAGCTAGTAGAAGCCTTTATAGCATTGATGCCAGGGGTTAAGCCTCCATTATAGGACATTTCGTGATATTCTGTGTAGGCAAATGTAGGCCAATGTGTTTCTGAATATGCACATGTATATGATATCTTTAACAATGTATAAAATAAATGTTGTACATCATAAATAGAGTTCTGTAACTAACTAGCTTCCATAACTAACTAGCTGTGGAAACTCTATGGAGTTGTCTATATTCCTGGCTTCAAATTCACCAGCTGTAATTGAGAACTTTGGATTAATTGATCTCTAAATCTATTCCTGTTTGAAGAGCCCATGATGTTAGTGCATGCGTGGATTATGTGGTTTCATCTGAATAATTGAATAAAAGACTTAAAAGTTGAGAGTATAAAAGGCATTTTATCCTTAATTCATGTAGCATTTTTTAAGTTCTGAGAGAGCAATTACACTCTTTTAAATTCCTAGCTGCTGCTCTTTTCCCATTTGATTGGTGGGTGGAATTGTGACAGAACCTTTAATTTTGCTGTTCTAATTATTATGTTCTAAAGGCTTAAAATAGTTCTGTAGCATACTCTGAATGACAATCTTTCTCCCTTTTCAATGAAGTGAGAAGCACAATTGTAACTTGGATTTCCATTGTGTCTTTTCACCGAGAAGCTGAGCACATTTTATTAATCTCAATACTTACAGTGCTGTTAGAGGACCAGTGAGAAGCCAGAGTAGATCTGTGGAACAGTGCCCAAGTTTATACATCAAATCCATAACAGAGACCTGGGCAGACCAGTGTGCCTCACAGTCAGCCCCCTTGTATAAGCGTAAAAATGTGCTGCTTACTGCTTTCATGACACTTGCTTAACTCATTAAAGCCCCAGGTTTCAGCATCGCTAGGTATATTTGTTTCATGGATATCAAACTCATGCTTATGTTATTGGCCACTCACATGCAGAATCATAAAGCAGCTGTTAAAAGAAAGCACATACCATTCAAAGTAATGATTTACTAAGATTGAGCTGAATATAGCTGGTCACAAAATTAATCTGTGATCCATCGATTAGATTCTTCTTCCTATGCTCTCTGAATCTATCGACACAATGTAATACCATCAGGCTGGCTTCAACTAAGTTGATGGCTTGCTAAAACCCAGGGAGTCAGACTGTGTAAGCGTGAGTCTCATTCTTGCTATGACTTAGTATTATGTTTGAAGTATCAAGAGGATACTTCAGGGATGATACTTCAATAGATCCATTACTTGACCAAAGTATTATAATACAGGAGAGTAGGCAGTTTTCTATCCTCTTTAGGGTAGATGTAGGGATTCTCCCCTTCTTTTCTTAAAATTGGAAAAATTTTTATGGTGTTAGTTGGCAAAGCATCACCCCATGCTAACCCAAACCTTTTAATTATTGATCCATCCTCTTTCAGGATTTCATTCTCTACTAAACTGGGTAAGTGGACTTTCATGTGGCTACCTGTGTAACTCAAAGCCTGAAGTAAGAAGAAAAGAAAAGACAAAGCTCATCATAAACTATAGACTTTCAAACAATCTATTGCTTTGCTTTACTCATAGTCAGTATGAAAAGATATACTTGAAACGATAAATAAATACAATTCCTAGAAGCAGACTTAAGTTTGGAGTTTTATTTAACAAGTCCTTTTAGTTTCTCTCATTTGTGAGGGAGATTTGTTATTGTACTTTACAAAAGCTGCTAAGCAACATCCATATGGATTGACTTTCAATTTCCTCCTTGCTTCACCCAACTGCTTTCTACAGTGGAGATTTTAATGATAAATGTAAGAACCAGAGGCAAAAACAAGCAAACAAGGCCCAAATGGTATAACACAGATAATTCATTTTTGACCATTCAAGATTGCCAGTTGTCAAAATGTGAAAACTGAAAGTATTTTAAGAGGTTTGCTTTTAATATTCCAATGAATTCATATATAATTTCAATATATATTATGGGTATAGTAGAGGACACACATACAGCATTTAGTGTCAAAATGTTCCAATAGCAAAAGTACTTTGTAGATGTTTGCACATGCCCAGGATCCCTTAGTCAAAACTTTGGGACCAGATGTGTTTCAAAATTTAGATTTTTTTGTCCCTTTTGGATTTTAGCAAGGTAATATAATGCATATACAGTCACATGCTACATAATGACATTTTGGTTAAAAATGGACTGCATATATGACATGGTCCCATAAGATTATAATGGAGCTAAAAAATTCCTGTCACCTAGTGATGCTATAGCTGTTCTAACTTCATGGTGCAATGTATTACTCAGATGTTTGTGGCGATGCTGGTGTAAATAAACCTACTAAGGTGCCAATCATATAAAAGCACAGCACATACAATTATGTAGGGTACATAATACTTGATAATGATAATAAATGACTATGTTACTGGTTTATGTACGGTAAATACATTTACTATGTATAGTAAATACATAAATCAGTAACAGTCACTTATTATCATTATCAAGTATTATAAAAGTGATACTTTTTATCACTATTTTAGAGTGTACTCTTTTACTTATTAAAAAACAGTTAATTATCAAGGAGCCTCAGGCAGGTCCTTCAGGAGGTATTGCAGAATAAGGCATTGTTTTCTTAGGATATGACAACTCCATATGTTATTGCTCCTGAATACCTTCCAGTGGGACAATATGTGGAGGAGGAAGACAGTGATATTGATTATTCTGACCTTGTGTAGGCCTAGGCTAATGTACATGCTTAGGCCTTTGTTTTTAGCCAAAAAAAAAAAAAAAAAAACCTTAAAAAGTAAAAACAAATAATAAATTTAAAAAATTAAAAGCAGAAAAAAGTTTATAGAACAAGGATATGAAGAAAAACAATTTTTAATGCACCTGTGCAATGTGTTTGCATCTTAACTTGTGTTATTACAAAAGAGTCAAAAGTTAAAATAAATGTAAAAGCTTATAAAGTCAAAGAGTTACAGTAAGCTAAAGTTAATTTATTATTGCAGAAGGAAGATTTAAAAAAATTAAAGGAAAATTTAAACAAATGTAACATAGCCTAAGTGTACAGTGTTTATAAAGTCTACTGTAGTGTATAATAACGTCCTAGGCTTTCACATTCTCTCACCACTCACTCACTGACTCTCCCAGAGCAACCTCCAGTCCTGCAAGCTACATGGTAAGTATGCTATACAGGTAGAACATTTTTAATCTTTTATTTTGTTTATCTACTGTACCTTTTCTATTTTTAGATAGGGAAATACTTACCATTGTGTTATAATTGCCTACAGTATTCAGCACAGTAACATGCTGTGCAGGTTTGTAGCCAGGAGCAATAGGTTATACCATATAACCTAGAAGTATAGTAGGCTATACCACCTAGGTTTGTGTAAGGACATTCTACAATGTTCACACAATGACAAAGTTGTCTAATGATGCATTTCCCAGCACATATCCCTGTCATTAAAACCCACTTATGCCTAGTGAACACTAGGCATGTGGAAGTTATTTATATCCTACTGCTCAAGGTCATCACCAAGGTCTGATTTTTCACTCATGCAAAAATTTTAAAAATGGCAACCTCTGGCATAAGTGGGTTAAGCAATGCATGACTGTACTATATAATACTAATACTCCAGAGCGAAGATGGCATCCTGTAATCAAACCCATTTTTATGTCACTAAAACATTCACTCTAGGTAGAATAAAAAAGCTTCATGTCATAATAGCTCCATGCCAATTTATTTCAAGTTTCACTTCCAAATTAACTTACAAAATTTGTTTTGGTTTTCAGCATTTGGGGATTTTAGTAAGAGTTTGTGGATCTGTTACTGTGGACCCATTTTCTTTTTCTTTTTTTTCTTTTTTTTTTTTGAGACGAATTCTCGCTCTGTTGCCCAGGCTGGAGGGCAGTGGTGCAATCTCGGCTCACTGCAAGCTCCGCCTCCCAGGTTCACACCATTCTCCTGCCTCAGCCTCCCGAGTAGCTGGGACTACAGGCACCCGCCACCACGCCTGGCTAATTTTTTGTATTTTTAGTAGAGACAGGGTTTCACCGTGTTAGCCAGGATGGTCTCGATCTCCTGACCTTGTGATCCGCCTGCCTCGGCCTCCCAAAGTGCTGGGATTACAGGTGTGAGCCACTGTGCCTGGCCAACCGTGGACCCATTTTCTAATTGTTGGAAACCAGAACTTAAGTAATTGTAAATGCTTTTAAAATTTATGGACATGGAATATATCTGAATTTTCTTTAATGTCTATCACAGATTATATTTGAAAAGACTGGCTAGCAAATATAATTTGCAATGTCTTTATTTCTTTCCCTTATTAATTGACAAAGCAAGACACTTCTGTGACTTTTAAACAAGATGTATAATCATATACCAGCTCCAGAGATTCTGAGTCTGATTCAGCAGAAGCAAATCCTAGTTACCTGGATTTTTAAAAGCTGTTAAGGTGACACCAATGAACACCACAGTTTAAGGAAACGTTACTCTGCAAGTTATTCAAACAGGAGTTCTACCCTCTTGAATTATTCTGCACCTTTCCATGAATTCATGTATAGAATGATACAATGACAAACGATTTTCTTTTCAAATGCAAAGCAACATAAAACACACACATAAAAAGACAAATGATGATGCTTCTATACCTCTTCAAAGTCATCTTTGGCTGAAGGAAGATCAGTGGCTAAACTAGAATCCCCCAGATGTTTCTCCATCCTCTCTCCAAGTACCACAGTTGTTTTAACAACTTTGCTGACTCTACGGCCTTCCACTGGCTCAGCCTGAAATTGTGAGGTACTGGACAAAATGCTGGGCTCACACAAAGTGACCTAATGATCGAAGGACACACAATAGACAATGTCTGATTGCCAAATGTAACTATGATGAATTTTTTCTATGTTAAAAAACAAAGGACAAAACTATAAAGTTACATACTGGCTTTCCAGAAAACAGCAATGGGAAGCAGAGTTAGAAAAAAACGAACTATAACCTATTGGTAATATCTACATCATGACTGTATCTCCACAACACCAAAGCAATCTTAATTAGTCATTTGAACAAAAAGTTATCAGTTTTGTGAATAAGAAACTGCTCAGTGTAATACAGACATAATAATATGTGAAGAAACTCTCTTTTCTCATGTTTAAATAATTTCTTTTGGTATTACAAAGATGAAATTAGCCCTCAAAGGAGGAGCTCTAAAAGCTATGAGAAACTGAAAAGTAGATTTCTAGAGAATCTCATGTGTATAATATAAAATTTTGAGGATGTGAATGAATGGAAAATAGAATTTCACAAACTATTTGTCAAAACAAGTAAATATGTCCCTGAAAAAGGGAAGTAAAACAGAAATAAATTAAAGTATAGATTGCCAGGTGCAGTGGCTCATGCCTGTAATCCTAGTACTTTGGGAGGCTGAGGCGGGTGGATCATTTGAGGTCAGGAGTTCGAGACCAGCCTGCCCAACATGGTGAAATGCTGTTTCTACTAAAAATACAAAAATTAGCCAGGTGTGGTGGTGGGTGCCTGTAATCCCAGCTACTCGGGAGGCTGAAGCAGGAGAATTGCTTGAACCCGGAGGTGGAGGTTGCAGTGAGCTCAGATCACGCCACTGCTCTCCAGCCTGGGTGACAGAGTGAGACTCTGTCTTAAAACAAAAAACAAGGATAAATCAAAGAGTTTCTCGATCCTGATTTTAGTAACTCTGCAATGCAGAAATCTGAATATCAAATATTTATCTAGAGTGACTTTCTGAAGGCTGGTGTGCCAACCAGGCACAAGCACCACAGTGCGTTTCTACACGGTGTCTCCACAGCATACTGCTTGCCCAGCAAATAGAATTGTATTCTTTCAAAATTTGACTTTTGGATTTCTGCAGTGGTCAACCATGAATTAAATAAAGAATAGATATTTTTAAAAAGACCAAACAAAAACAATGAGTATAATGCCTACAAGTCTCCCTGATGGCTGTCTTAAAATCACATAGAATCATGAAAACAAAAAGGTGAATGTGCAACTAAGAGCAAACTGCCACATGAAAGGGAGAAGTGAGGAAAATATGAATAAACAATCTCACTCATCTTTCTTGAGCTCTATTTTGTTCCTCTCCATCAAATGGGTTTTAGAGAATCAGGTTGTCTCACCTCTGACTGCTCGGTGTCACTCTTCAATACAACACGCTTTATAACTTTGGAATAGCCATCCCCTTCCTCGATGTTGACAGGTTCCTGTGGCATTCCCTGCACCATAATCTCTTCTTTCTCTGTGCCTTCAGAGGATACATACCGCCTAATGATTTTCCTAGTAACCTGAAATGTATTTCATTTGTGTATCTTATTTTTGTGTGACAGTACCATGGAATTGATAAATTTTAAACAGGAAGTTTGTAATCAACCCTGTTAGGATATACTAGACAATACCTTCTTTACCACGGTGTGTCCATGCTCATCAATGTATTCTTCTTCTGTGACTGTTTCTGGGGGTATTTCAGGCATATCGTCTCCCTAAACAGTTGAGAGAAAAGGGTCACTGTGGTGTTTGGCACCAATTCTGAGGAACTACTCCCAAGTGCTTATAATGTGAGGAATGTTAGAAAATCAAAGGCGATGTTGAGAAGCATTGCTGAGATACAAAATCCTGTCAACTAGTGAAAAACTCAAGTGGGTAATAACATGCTTAGGAGAATCTGACCAAAGTTAGATAAAACTTCAACAAAAATAGAAAAGCGAGAGGTGAGGTGGGTGGAAGTGAAGAAGCCAAGTCTTGCTCTTGCTTGGTGGCTCTCCTGGAGGAAAGCTGGAACCACTGCATTTGTTTGCAAACAGAACTTATGAGAGTTAAGGGATCTGCTTTTGAATGGCCATGCACTACCTAAGGAACATGCCAAGCCTTCATTGATCCAGGTTGATCACTCTTAGAATATGGGGACAGGACTGTCCCTGACGTGCAGTAATTTAACAGTGGGTACCTGAATAATCACTCGCCGGCGGACAACCCTGGTAGTTACCATCGCCTCCTCATCTGAGCTGGCCTCCAGCTCCCCTAATTCCTCTGTTAGCTCCTGGTGGAAGCATGGAAGCATTGCTTTGTTTAACATGCTAAGGAATGACTTCACTACTGGTTTCTTCTTTAGCTTACATTGTATTGTGAAACTTTTATTCATGGAGGCTTTGATGGACAAGTTGGTAGAGGTGAAAACAAATACGTGCTGGTCTCAGACATCAACAAAAATAGAGTGTTTTGGTTTTTTGTTGTTGTTGTTCAATGAATGAAAAAAAATTCTGGAATTCTGAGAGCTGTTGGAGAACCCATCTGTCAAAATCTCTCCAAAATAAAAAGCAGCTTGCTCATGTGACTTCTTTTACTTAAACTCCTAAAAAAAAAGCCTGACTGTAAACATAGACCCTAAGCAGTTCAGTAAACACTTATGAGCCACTGACACTGGTGCTTAGGCTTGGAATTATTCACCCAAAGGTATAGGAATATCCCCTGTTTCTAGCAGAACTTTTTGCAGGAAGTCAAAGTTTCCTGTAGCTATTATCTAACCAATAGTGCATCTCCCTGGCATCAAAAAAAGGTAGACTATGAATAATATTAGAATAATTCTATGGAGAAGTTGAGATAAAGTGGTCAATAGTATTTTAGGGCTCTGGCCAAAAGCCAGAGATAAAGCAAAAAACATAATTTTAGCTTAGCACACATTACCTTAGGAGTCATATATTGAATTACTCTTCCCTAATGAAATTTTGTTTTTAAAAAAGAGAAAGCTCAAGTAGATTTACTTAACACACTGTAAAACTCAAGTTATATGTTTACATTTGTCTCTGCTAAAGGAAGACCTGTAAATTCTAAACCAAATTATATTTTAAATATAATCAGGAATCTACTGCCTAGAAATATGGTTGGCAAGAAAAGTGATTAAAATTGGATGCCCAAGTTAGGGTTATGAGAAATAAGGGTCCACATGGGAAGCTTAAGAGAAATGCCTGATACTCATCAAGAATAAGTCGAACAGGCCTGTATAAATTATGTGAAATTCAGAGTGACTTATACAAACATATTCCTTTAGTATAGATTAAACATATGTATTATCCAGATAATTGTTTCAAGTCTAACTTCACTAAGCCTATGGATTCTTAGGTTAAATTTGGTAACTTTTAGCCTAGATAACATGTAAGAAACATTTTTAGTAGTACTCATTCAAGCCAAGAATTTGAGAGATGAATAATTCTATGCAAAAGCAAACTTGGAATAAAAATTCATTCATGGCATGAATTTATTATTTAAGAAAACTGCCAAAATCAGGACACAGTTCTCATCTGCCTGGATCTTTCCTAATTTTAGTTGTGATTTCAGATAATTCCTAGCAGCAGATCTCATTCTTACAGTGAACAAAAACAAATGTGTGTCTTAAGCCCAAACACATGCTGTTTCACTTTATTTGCCCCCCAAAATTTCAATTATTTTGTTTAACTCTTCTTTTACTACTAAGCTTTATATTAATGCTCTAAAAACACTTTGAAATATAAAGTGTTTTTGAATTCTATTACTTTTTAAAAGAAAAAACAATATCTAATTTAATTTATATTAAATTAAGTTTAATTCATATTAAATTAAGTTTAATTCAAACAGATTCTCATACTTTTTTTGTGGCTGAGAATCCTCTGGGGAGTTATTTAAAAGGCAAATTCTTGCTTTCCCTCCCCACCCTGGGATTCATTCTAATTCAGGATTTCTGAGGAGGGATCAAGCTCTCCAATCAATTCTGACGTATGTGAACTATATAGACCACATTTTGAGAATAAATTGTTGATCAATTTCTTTTTTTCTTTTTTTGAGACAGTCTTGCTCTGTCGCCCAGGCTGGAGTGCAGTGGTATGATCTTGGCTCACTGCAAGCTCCGCTTCCCGGGTTCATGCCATTCTCCTGCCTCAGCCTCCGGAGTAGCTGGGACTACAGGCACTCGCCACCATACCTGGCTAATTTTTTTGTATTTGTAGTAGAGACGAGGTTTCACCATGTTAGCCAGGATGGTCTCGATCTCCTGACCTCATGATCCACCCGCCTCAGCCTCCCAAAGTGCTGGGATTACAGGTGTGAGCCACCGCGCCTGGCCAATGGTTAATTTCTTAACATGGTCCCCACCCCTTTTCACAATTTTAAAACTCACTTAATGACAAAGGAAGCGCTATGATGCAATCTTATGCCACCGTCAGGCATTTGGACATTTAATTTAGGTACAATGTTCTTTTTCTCAGTCATTCCTAAAATAAATCTTAAAAAAAAAAATCTAACTTGGAAATCATCTTGCCTCTAATGAGAAAAATTTATTTTGGCAGCTAAACCCCACCCAATATCCACAGTCTGTGTGCTCATCACCTGGCAGGCCAGAGATCTAACAAGCCTGCTGGTCCCAGCACATCCCATGGCTGACTTACCTGGTGCTGCTAATCTCTGCCACCAGGTTTCATGCCCAAGTTTACTAATTTTGAAAAGCTCCTCCAGATATATTGTTTCACCACCGTATTCATTTTTCTTAGCAAAAGACTTTCCAATGATAAGATCAGGGCTCATGGTCAAATCAACAGCACTGGAACTGTGCGCCATTTCTTCAAGATTCATCGGCTCTCAGATTTTAAAAGGGATTGAGGGTTTCCATGTGCCAGGTTAATTAATTTGGTTAACTTTTTTGTTTTGAAGTGCAAAAAATAAACCATCATAGAAATGGAAACTGGAAGATTTGTAGCTTTGTTACAGGTGGGCGAGAAAGTGGAGAGGAATGTCTTACCTTTTCAAAAGCTGCATCTTCATCGAGTCTTTCACAGGTCTCAGGCTGGTTATCGGCAGACTCCACTATTACGAGGCTGGTTTTCCGCGGAGAGCTCTCCTCTCTGTGCTCTGAGGGCTCTTCGGGTTCTTGTATGATGGGAGAGCCTCCCCGCTCGCTGGATGTTGGGGTCTGGAGGTACAGCTTCTCCTCCTCTGCAGGGGTGCTAACTTCCTCAGGTGTCTTGCTGGGAGAGCTGGGTACTATCATAGCCTTCTGAGTCTCTGATGTTTCTGTTCCTGGAGTTGTCACACTGGAATCAAAAAGCCAAATGAGACTTCAGGGACATTTGCATTTCACCTCCTGCTCAAGCAAGGAAATCGAAAGGCAAGATGGAGCTGGTTTTTCCATAGTCTATGACAGTCAAAATAGTTTTTGTACATTTGGCCAAGAAAGGACATTTGAAGAAAAATAATATGACAAGATATAGAGTTGTAGCTCATTGATCTAGCACTGGCAGAGAGTGATGTTATTATTCTAAAGACAAAAATTATCCTAAAATGTATTACAGTTACCCAACCTCTACAATGTATATAAGTTATAGTTTCATCTTTTCTTTTATAACTCAAGGTGATATTGAGGATGCGAGGAATTTTACATAAGTATTTGTAGATAATAAGGCTTTTGAAGCAAGAATAAAAATTTGGCAGAATTACATAAATCCCCATGTTAATATAGTTATCATAAGTATAAATACAAGGAAATTCTTATTGTACCTCTGAAAAACTGTTTTATTTAATAATAGAGGCATCTGTTGACATGGAAACTTTTTTCATTGATATAGTCTGGAGTTACTCCAATGTAACTTTGATAACCTCAACTGCTAAATAAGATTATTGGCCTTTTCTGTGCCTTCTTTTGGTATTCAGTGCAATCTATCACTCCATAGATATTAAATGCCTAAAATGTCTCTCTGTTATCCTCTCCTCTTCTTCCCATCTTTTCCTTGGTCCTTCTCCTTCTTCCTTATATTTTCTTTAAAACCTACAGGTTGATGGGGCAAGGGTGGCTCAGTGGAAGAAGAGATAATTTCATTACTCATTTCATCCTCTTCTCATGTCAATGACCACAAAACTCACCAAATGACAAGCGAAATGTTTTGATACAATCTCATGACACCCTATTCTCAGACTTCAGGTTTAGGGATATGTTGGCCTTTCTCACAATTTGTTTTCTTTTCTGGACAATCAGTGTCAATTAAACAACTCTTTCTCCTTGGCTTCCATAAAGGCCGGAACTTAAATTCTGAGCCAAATTAGGCCTGCAGCTTCCTTCAGCCAGAAGCTCTTCGGAAGGCTTCTCTTTACTCCCACCCCAACTCTATTCCAACTCATTTTAATAGTCTTTTATTCTATGTGGTTAGTTTGCATTGCATTTATATTTTTATGATTAGTCCCCTCATAGCTTGGTTGAAATGCACCATTGGCTGTGGTATCTACATCATCACTGACCATACTCCTAACCAGCAATGGCACGATGAAGTGCTACAGAGCATATTTGAAGTGCTACAGAGCAAATGAGGTGCAGCAATATTATAAGTCATGGCCGTGTCATCTACAGGGAATTTTACAGTTTAGATGAAGCTTTCATAAACACACTTTTGACCCTGTGAGATGAGTCAAGTGTGTATTATTACTATAATTTACAGATGTGGAAATGGAGATTCAAAGCACATAAGGACTTGTTCAAAGTCACAGCTCTGGAAGTTGGTTCTTGTAGGTCTGTGCCCCAAACACTGTCACAATTATGTCTCTTACATGTTAACGCTTTTTTTTTCCCCTTTAGCTCTGGCACTTGTGTTTGGTAGGGTCATTTTAAAAAGTATTTAAAAACTAGTTATGCTTATATATGCCTGGCATCCACAATAGCCTGTTTCTTTGGTATTACATTTGACAGGCTTTCTTTGGAAACTCACAAATATTCCTGCTGATATTCCAGAGATGACTCTTCAGGCAGGTCTTGCATTTTCCCTGAGAAATCCTGTTGAACTTGCTCCTTGTGAGTTTGGGGAAAGAGTGCTGTTGCTGAGCTGTCCCCCTCAGTTTTGGGGACGCCATCCTGAAAAGTGGAATAACCAACAGAAATGTCTTCCTCTGAGACGATAGGAGGGTGATCGCAGGTCTCACTTTCTTTAGAAACAGCTTGCTCCTCTTTCTGCTTGTGCTGTGCAGTGCATAACTCCTCTTGAAGTACCGAGAACCCTAAAGGCAGAATGATTTAAGTATTTAGTTGAAGCTTACCTATATTGAATGGATATTTATTAAGTAATAAATATAAGAGGATAAAAAAAATAAGAAGATAAATGTGCTACATCCTGAGATGGGCCCATGGATTACAAAGATGAAGAAGACACTGTGTCCACCTTCAAGATACGGATCATGTAGAAGAGTCCACGCAAGTAACGGTCAATTCCAGTGCAGAGCAACTGGGTCATAGGTGCCAGTCAATGAGTGTGGGAGCACCTAACATGGGGTTAGAATTTGGAAAGAAAATGCAGAGTGTGTTACATGCCAAGGAGACCTAATGGCAAGTGGGAATTGACTGAGACAGTCAAAGCACAGAATCTGAAGAGTAAGATGAGTACAGTTAATAATCATCATAACAAACAATAGCTAATACATACTGAAAATTTATTCCATGTTAGGCACCGTTTCAAGTGCACTGCAAGTATTAACTTGATTAATACTCACTCTAACACTATAAGGATAGTACTCTTTTTATGTAGAGTCTTTTATGACAGGCTAAGGAATTTCATTATATCCAGGGAAATGAGGAGTCATTGAAAGATGTTTAGCAGAGGAGTGACTGGCATTCATCTATTGACTCATTTATTCAACAGATATATATTGAGCACCAACTATGTAATAAGTGCTGCTTAGATGCTGGATATATAGCAGTGAACAAGATATAAGATATAAAAAGCTTCCGTCCCCACTGAACTTGCATTTCTGCAGATATATATTTATGATAAATATTGGGAGAAAAGTAAACCAGGATAAAGGTAGAGGATAAATGGGGCTAGTATTTTAAATAGACTTGTCAGGAAAGGCTCTGCTTAGGAGGCGATATTTGAGCAGTGACCTAAATAAAGTGAGAGAAAAAGGTATATGTTGATCTGAGGAAAGAACATGCTAGGGTGGAGGGAGCAGAAAATACCAGGGCCCTGAAACAGGAGAATGCAGAGGGTGCTCCAGAAATGGCAAGGAGGCCAGGCGTGCAGGACCAGTGCGATAGAGACAGAGGTGGGAGATGAGGACAAGCTATGAGGCTCTTGCTCAACAGTTAAGATACATCATCATTCACATCCATGAGAAGTAACCTGCCACAGGAAGGAGAAACAGCCAGTAAAGTTAAAAAAAAAAAAAAAAAAAAAAAGGAAGCAAGAATGTCATGAAATTTAAGTAAAGAAAATGTTTTAAGAAGGCAGGCTTCACTATTCATGCCAAATGTTACCCAGAGGCAAAGTAAGTTGAAGAATGAGAACTGCCTGCTAGATTTGAAAAAGAGGAAACAATAGGTGAATTTTATAAGATTGACTAGAGTGAATTATAGAGCTCTAGAGGGAATGGGAAGAGAGGAAGTAGAGACAGGAAATTCAGACTGTTCTTTTAAGAGGTTTCCTGTGAAATGGATGGAGTAACAGCAATAATACAGGGGGGACATATAGGGTAAAAGGAGTTATTTGCTTTGTTTTGTTTTTAAAGATGGGATCTATTAAAGCATGGTTTAATGCTGTTGGGTATGGTCTAGTGGTAGGAAGCCAAAAGGGATACTTGCAGGAATGGAGTCCCTGATTGAGTAAAAGGAGATGAAATCTAGTACAAAACAAGAGATGATGGCTTTAGAAAAGTGAAGAAATTTTATCCATTTTAATAGGATGGAAGGTAGAGTTAAGTATATGCATTGAGATGCACTCATGTTGGTAGATTCGTGGTGGAAAAATATAGACATTTGCTTCTGATTATTCTTATTATTTTCTAAGAAATAGGAAGTTTGGTCATCAGCTGGGTATAAATAAAGAAAAGAGACAGTGTTGGAGGTTTGAAGGAAGAAGACAACATGTAAAATAGAGATAAGAGAGAGAGAGAAAAAAAAAAACAGTGTTAGAGACCACAAATGAATGAGAATAGGTTAGGGGAACTTTAACACTGAAAAGGTGGTAAGGCCAATGGCTGGAGGTCCCCGAGGGTATGAAGCACTGTTGGTGCAGAAGTAAAAGAGGAAATGTACAGTCACTGGTAGTGATATAGTCCTAGTTGTGAGCCTAGAAATACGTGGCTAAGGTAGCATAAAAAAATACAAGTGTAAGAAGTGCCACCATGGAACTGAGGAAAAGGAATTCAATGGATCATTTTGTTATCTGTGAAATAACAAAGAATGAGCATGAAGCGGAGGTGGGAGGGTGTGTAAAACAGGGAGGAAAGCCTCAGGGTAGCAAGGAAAAGAACATATGATCACCATAGGCCATGGTCTACCTTCTGAAAAAAAAAAAAGACAGTAGGTCCAGTGCCTCAATTAACCACACACAGACACAACACACACACACACACACACACACACACACATACACACACACAGTTTGACCTTCACTATGATCCAGTGTAATGGTCTGTTCAATTTCTGCATAACTATGACTGATGCGCTCCTGGAGAGGTTCTGTGTTGGTCTCCATGAGATGAACAATATCCATTCGGTTGATCTTGGTGAGACATTCAACGAGGTTGGTATCTGACACATTAGAGAAACAGCATTTATTATGTCTGAGAGGTACTCTTAAAAATCTCTTTCACTCAACTGCCTTACTAAATTTTTGATATCTGTACAGAAAAAAACAATCAAAGCCTAATTAAAAGTCTTTGTAAAAATAAGCCAACAGACAAAAGAGATATGCATAAAAAAAGTGGTACAGCATGGGCAAAAGCCCTAAAAGTAGAATTGTCAGATAACATACAGGACACCCACCATACCTGAATTTCAGATAAAAAGCAAATACTTCTTTAGTATAAATATGCCCCAAATATTACAAGGGATATGCTTATGCTAAAAATGTATTTGCTGACCACCTGAAACTTAAATTTAACTGGGCACCCTTCTGTTTTTATTTGCTAAATCTGACAATTCTACTTAGAAGAATGTAAAGACAAGGAATGATAAATGTAGACTGGATGTTATTTATGAGTAAAGGAAGCAGAAACAGAAGGTAATGCACTACCAGTGAAACAATGCTAAGTAAAGCAATTGTGTCCACTTATCAATATTTTAAAAATATTAGGGTTTGAGTAACATTACTGTTAGAAGTGAGGGCTGTTATTTAATGCGGTTCATACGCATATCGTGCAAGAGTTTTTAAGCAACATGCATACTTCAGAAGTGACAGTAGCTTGTTCTCATTTGCTTACAGTAGTTCACTAAGTTCTCACTCAACATCATTGATAGATTCTTAGAAAACAATGTTCTGGTCACAAAAACACTGCCAAACTTCTAAATAAAACCCCAAACACTTTTAATATTAAACACTGAAGTGAAAGTGAGTTACACATACATTTAAGAAAGACTAATAAACATAAGTAAGATAATTATTCAATTTTTGAGGAACCAATGCGTGATGGCGGTCATAGTGGTGGTGGGGTTCAATCAAGGAATAAATCTTTGCAAAGTGAAAATTGTAAGGAGCACCTCCTCCCACCATGCCATTCATAAACAAACAATAACAAATATGGTGGGCTCGCTGAGTACTTTCCTAAGGCATCATTTATTTCATGCATTTGTGTAATTACCATGGACTCTATACATTTTCATTTGACAACAATTTGTATCAATTCATTCATTCTTTTCCCAATCCCCTTATTCAGTTCAGGGTCTCAAGTGGCTGGAACTTAACCCAGCAGCTCAGAGCACTTTGCATGGGAACCAAGCTGGGAGATGATGCCATCCCATTGCAGGGGGCACTCACACACACCCACACTCACTCAGAATGGGATAATGTAGAAACACCAGTGAAACTGATGTGCACATCTTTGGGATGTGGGAGGAAACTGGAATACTGGGGAAAAAGCTACACAGACATGGGGAGGATACACAAACTATACACAGACAGTGGCCTTGCTGGGAATTGATTCTTTTTTCTCATCAATGTTATAAGGAAATGACACTGAACAAAATGATATTACTCAAGGACCCACTGTACTGCAGATTAATGGCATTTGCTTCTTTACTATTCTACTGAATTTGCAAGATGCGGTTGTTGAGCAAGACATGTCCAACTTTAGCCCAATATGCATATAGTTCCCCACTTACCTGTAGCATGTTTCCCATCCCTCTCTAGCCAGTACTTCAACAGTGCATGACTCTGGTCTTGAAGAGAGTTGGGATTTTCAATTCGAATTTGATGAATTTGCTCCTCAGTGAAATCCAGTTCTCTTGCTAATTCTAGAAGATAAAATACTACTTTGTAAACACATTAACTTCAAGGTTTCAGTCTCTACATTTTGCTTTGTGATTTTGTAAATGATGTGTTCTTTATATTGTGGTGAGTATTTGAGTTCCTTAATTTCTACATATTAGAAGTGACTCTTATATGCCTTTGTTCTTCTAGTACTAATTATGGATTTTTTCCCCTAAAACTGGGTATAGAATTTATCACTGCATAGTGAAAATAGTAAGTGTGAGGCAGCAATGATAAGATATGTATAATTCAGGCCCATTTGATTCCAAAATGCAAATGAGATCATTAATACTTGCTTATACTTTTAAGCAAGATAATGGAAAATAAATGACTGATAACAAAAGAAAAAAAGTTTCTCCCTTTAATTAACATAGGTGATGTTTTGAGTATTATAAATCCTGTTTCTGGATACTTTGATAAATACTAGTTGTAGCTATATTATGGTGGTTGGATAAATGCCTTTCTTTGATTTGATGTCAACTGAATAAGAGGTCGAGGAAGCATTAATTGATCCAGGGAAGAAGACACAAAATTTTCCTTTGAATTCTACTATTAACCTTCCATATGGATTGGGTGGGCCCAGTAGCTCATGCCTGTAATCCTAGAACTTTAGGAGGCTGAGGTGGTAGGGATTGCTTGAGGCCAGAAGCTCAAGACTAGCCTGAGCAACATAGAAAAACCTCATTTCTACAAAAAATAATTTTAAAAAATTAGCTGGGCATGGTAGTGTTTGCCTGAGGTCCTAGCTACTCAGGAGGCTGGGGCAGGAGGATCACTTGAGCCTGGGAGTTTGAGGTTACAGTGAGCTATGATTGTGCCACTACACTCTGGCCTAGGCAGCAGAGCATGATCCTGTCTCTGTAAAACAAAACAAAACAAAAACAAAATAACAAACAAAAAACCATTACATATGGATGCTTATACATTATGGGGTGTGTGTATGCGTGTGTGGGTAAATAGGGTGACCTCTTTTGAAGGCAATTTGACAATATCTTTCAAAATTAAAAATATACGTATCTTTTCCGCAGCAATTCTACTTCTAAGAATATGCCCTATAGATATACTCACAAAAATATACCAATGCACAAGAATATTTACTGCCGTTACTGGGAAACCACCTAAAGCCCATCAACAAAAGCCATTAATAAAATTATGGAACCTCCATATAGTGGAATTAAATACCCACTTAAAAGAATGAAATACATGTGTATATGTTAACAGACTACTTATGAGGAATATTATTCAGTAAAACTTTTCTTACTTTTAAATAACAGGCATAAATATAGGCACTGTATATTTTTTCTAAAAGCATGAGAAAGTATTAGCAGTTACTTCTGAGGCACACGGCTAGAAGATAGAAGTAGGTGTGAGAGTCATATTTACTTTTCATTCTATGTCATTCTATATGGTGGTAGGATTTGAATTTTTACCAAATATATACATATTGCATTTACTATGTAGGTATGGATACAAACATATTTAAAAACCAAAATAAATAATTCTGAATGTTATCTAGTAAGTCAATCACGGATAGTTTGGTATCATTCTCTCCCCTAAAACCCCGAATTAGTTAAGTCTGATCAGTATGTAAGAATTACTTTAAAATTATTACAAGTGAGAAAGTGGCCACTTCTCCAGTCATGTACTCTAAATTAGTAGTTATCTTTATGAGTATTATGGGCTCCTATTCATCACCAAATCTAAGAAATGGAAAGGAAAAGAATATTATTTTACAATGTTTGTCTCTTTGAAGTAGTCACAAGTGATATTAAAAAAAAAAAAAAAGCCAGACTGAGAATCTTGCTTTAATAGGTTAAGTCACAAGTAGATGAAAATGTATAGTTTTTAAAACATACAATTCATAATGTGTAAATAAAGTATATTGATTTTAGAATTCACTTTTCCTTAATAAATTATTAACATAAAATTTCTATACTTAAACACTCTCATTTCTCAAAAATATTAGTGAAATATCTCATTCATGTGTGTTTTAACACTTACCCAAAGCAATTTTTAGTGTTGTTTACTATGAAGATTTTTGACATAAGGTATCTAAAAGAAGGAGCCCTGGTTAAATCTCACATTAAATTTGATAAAAATTACATCTAAAAATGATTTTGAAACATAATAATCTCCCCCAAATTTAGATATCCACAACTGCCAACAGAGGTTCCTGAATGTTGGTATATTCTCTAAATCTTCAAATAGAAAGTTCTATTATTCTAAATTTCAGAGATGATAAAAGGCCTGCCCTGGGCTATACCATTAGCTGATGCAGAGCCCAGGTTTTCTAGTTCTTAGTTTATTCTTCTTTTCATGTATTCTTTCTCAAGAAAGTGGGGGGTACCTTTTATGCTGTGAATGACACCTGACTGATGCATCTATGTCAGGTTTTGTTGAAAACCTGGGTCACATTCTTTTTACCTGTCCAGCTGAAGCCAAGGTGATCAGCAATATAAGCCAGCCTTTCCTCGATCCGTTCCTGCTCATCCTGTGGATCTGGAGAAGGTCAAAAACAGAATGGCCAAAGGTTGTCTATGACAGGAGAGGAACCACAGTACTGATTCATTCAAAGAAAGGAAGTCACTTCTCCAAATATTTGAAAGCACAAACTAGATACTACATTTCAGATCATATTGTGTGTCTGATTTCTGGGGTGGAATGGGGAATAGATCTAATATGAATCATGAAAACCATCTGCTTCCATATCTCTTTAATCAAGACTAGTTCTAGACATAATTATATAAGTTGCTGATTTCTAGTAATCTTATGACTTTTAAATTATTGGAGAGAATACTGCCCACCAAGAAGACCACCATCTTGTTCATGAAACACCAGAGAAATCATAAATGGGATGCAGAAGTAGAGCAATTGGCTAGGACCTCCTATTATTGCTTGTGGAGGGATAGATCATTTCCAGGTCATGTCTGAAAGGAATCACATCAGAGATTCACAAGAGATGTTGATCATGAGCTGATCAGGCCATCCTGATTAGTGTGGCCAGAAACAACATTTGGTCCTGGTGACCTTGGAGAAACGAGGATAAAAGCATATGCATTTTTATGTGTATATTGTATCTGTATGCATATATGTCTTTTGGGCAAAGTTTCTGCCTTCTTGCTATTAAGCTTATATACTACTCACTCCTATAAACTATAATTTTCCCATTCATGTTTAACTCCCACTGATTGATAGGCAGCATTTTAGACCATGGTATAGGAAAGTTTGTATAACCTCAATTTAAGAATGACAGTCTTCATTGTAGAGATATTGGAAGAACACAGGCTACTTTTCAAAGCCATCTATGGTTTCCTTTTTTATAAGTCAAAGAGCCATCATCCCCTCACAGTCAACTTAAACTGTGCAAAGTTTGAGTTTTTGTTGTCTGCTGCATCTAATGAGAGTACATTCTCCATTCATCTACCACATAAATGAAAAGCATATTTTTACCTTAGGTTTGTTTGCTTAAAGTATTTACCAATGGTATCTGAAATCCAACCTTTCTGAATCAAAAACAGATCCACAACAATTAGAATTTCATGTTATGTGAAATCTTCTCAAGCAAATGGCTTCCTAATGATTACAAAATTGTAAGTACAAATTATTTTAAAGTATGCGAAGATAAGAAGAAAAGCAATGTCTTCATACTATGAAACAAAATACAATATATTTATGTGCAAAAGTGCTTAATTTGAGTCTAAGCTTGGGACTTCAGAACAACAAAACTCAAAGCTCGCATGGCCTTATTACGTGCAGAGGCTAAAAAAGGCAAGATCACTGTTGCCCGGTTATTATGTTTATGTTTTCCATAAGCATTCTCATTACTCAATCTTGAGATTGTTTTCTTAGACAAGAGTATACAGAGAAAGCACAAAACACAAAGGGCTTACACAAACACATTAGCCACTACAGAAAGCTTAAAGAAAATGAGACACAAATCATCAAATAAAACAAACATACAAAAAAACTATATCAATTTTATGACATGCGTAGCACAGGGAATCCCGGTGGCTGGCAAATACCTTCAGCATGGTCATGGCCATTTTCATCAGGGATGCGTTCAATCAGAGTCTCAATAGACTCATCCCAAATGGGCCTTGTGTCAAAGATGTCCTCAGGAACTGAGTGCTCGGTCTCAACAGGTGGCAGATTTTCAATTACTGATACTTCCAGGGCACTACTACTTTCATCGTCTGAAACTATTTCCTGCTCCCTCTCTGACTGTGTCAGCCTATCCACTAATTTGGAAGCCTCATCACTAATCTCCTCAAAGAATTCTATGGAATTTCTGTAAAGGTCAAAGAAATGCTCCTTACTTTCTTTTGTGGGGCTCGTGCCCCCCCTGCAGGAAGATGTAGTGCTTCTGCTCTTAACTGGCAATCGGGATGTAAGTATCTTTGGTCTTGTGGCCCCTTCTTCTGATTCTAACTCAAGTTCCTCGGCCCTCTCTCTGCTCTCTGTTTCTGTCTCAGTGTAACTTCGGGTTTTTACTGGGCATTTGGTCTTTGAATCCAAAGAACTAGCATCAGATTCAGATTTGCTTCTATTATCTGGTGCGATGCTTGCCATGTCCTGTCCCTGAGGAGCCACTGTCTTCTGGACAGAGGTGTCTAGATCTGAGAGCTGCTGTTCAACTCTTTGGAGGGGTACTTTGACAGGGAGTTTGGACTTTGGTTTTGCTTCATCCGCCTTATTTTCCTCATCTACACTGGATAGAAAATCTTCAGAAACTGAACTCTCATACTCTGCAGATGGAGGTGCTGGGGTGGAAGTGGGCATAGTCCTTACAGGAATTTTGGATTTGCTTTCAGTAAAAGGCACATTCTCCATGGGTGCAGTAGGAATCTCGATTACTGATTTCTGTTCTTCTGGGGAAGAATCGGGAGAATCATCACCCCTATCTGAATAAACAGACCTGGTGAGTGTGGAAAAATCTAACTGGACTTGTACAGCTGGTTCAGAAGAGTCGGGGCAGGATATCTGCTTTACACCAGAGAGAGGAGGTATATCACCCGTTTGCACGGTGGGGAGGTCCTTGGTCCCTACACTAACAGCTTCTTTTGTAGGTGTTTCAGTGGAGGCTGAAATCCCCATTTGGGAGTTAAGTTGAGCATCCGAAGCAGGTATTTCCTCTACTTCCTCACTCACGTCATCTGGAAGTAAGTCTGCCTCATCATCCACTGTTTCTTTTGATTCTGAAAGTGCTAGTGATTCAGCTGATGTCTCCAGCGGTAGGGGATCAGCCCCAGTAGCCCCTTCTTTCACATCTTCAGAGAGAGTCTCTTCCCTGGATTCTTGACCAATTTGGAAAAAGTGAAAACTTTCATCTGCATAGGACCTTTTGGTCATATCAATGGCACCACTTCGGGTCATTTCAAACAATTTTCCTTCCTGAAACAGAAATGGGTTTTGCTCACTTGTTGGGGTCCCCTCTTCAGTTGGGGTCCTAGCAGGAGTGGTGTCAGGGGTGGTACCCTGTGATTGTCTGTCTACCATCAAACCAAATATCTTTTGTTCTTCCTCTTTCACACGAGCCTCAAAGGCTTCATCGTCTTCCCGAATTTCACTCCAAGAATCAGAATCCACATCAGTTTTTGTGATGATGACTTTGCTTATTTGTTCACCAACAACTGTTGTTGTAGCGGACATAGTAGGCTCGAAAGATGAAGAGACACTGTCTGATTGCATTTCCCACAAGGTACTTTCCTGTTGGGATTCCATTTTTATGTCCTGGCCCTCAAAATTAGATTCTTTGCTTAAAACAGTTCCACTAGAGGAGCTTGCCACTACAACGTCTTCAACAGGGGATGTGATGGTAACAGAATACACTTCAGAAGAGTGAAAACTTGTGGTGTGATTTGCATCTGTTTGGGTTTTGCTTTCTTCACTAGAGAAAAAAGATTGGGAAGGGACATTTTCATAAGGGCTAGTGATTTGTGGATCATAGATTTCATCATTCTCAGCTAGGTCAGACACGGGAACATCCATGGAAAATCTATCTGTTTGAGTAGTAATGGATGAGTCTTGAGAGGGGCAGTCCTTTGGTAAGTTCTCAAATGTTTCATCAGTTTTTGTGACCTCTGTTTTTTGAATAGAAGATGTGGCAGATATGTCTTCATCTAATTCTTTTCCTTCAGATACCAAACAATGAGGCAAAGAGGATGAAGATGAAAAGCTTTCACTGGGGCAATCTGCTTGTGGAGATTCTGCTCTAGAAACATCAAGCTCTTCTCCCTCTGTGTCTTTTTCATGAGTGCCTTGGAGAGCTAATGATTCTTTATAGATGACTGGCTGTTCATCAACATCATCACCAGTCGGACTCTGTAGACCTGAAGAGACAGGAGCAGCTGAGCTGCTAGGACTCATGGCCTCACATCCATGGCCATCACAGATTTTTGGCTGATCAGTGTCTCTGTTTAGCTTATCATAAGACCTGTCTTCAGCCTCAGTGGAAACAGCATGACGGTCTTCAGCTAAATGGGATTCAGAATCTTTTTCTTCTTCTGATTTGCCTGGCTCTTCCTGAGTATCTTCATTCATCTTGAAAGTATATTGTTTGGAAACGACAGGCTGGAATTGTACTTCTTCTGGACTGGAATTGGAGTCCATGCTTGATGGAAGTGGAGAAGGAGGTTGTACTCGAATCACTGGTTCTGGTAAAAGGCCTGAGTCAGCACCTTTTTTAAGCTGTGCCAACTCAGGTTCACTTTCTGAGGAGGAAGACACCTTCCTGCTCTCCGAAGTTACTAACACAGGGACACCACTTTCATCCTCCCCACTGCCTGTATGTTTTGGTTCATCCACATCTACTGAACAGTCAGCATCTGGGTCAGAAGATGAAGAAGATTCTTCTTGTTTGGGTTCTTTTTTGTAGTCCCTTTTCTGCTTTGCTTCTTGTTCAAGTTCATCAAACATTTTGATTTTGGTTACCATTTTAAACATCTCCTCTTCAGGTGTGAACCTCTTTTTCTCCCCGTTTTCTGAATCATCCTCCTCTGCACATTCATGAATCACAGCTGGTTTTGGTGTACTTACATCTGTGGTTTTGGGTGTAACCTCATAGCTGACTTCTTCAGAGCTGGGGGTGTCAGGAGAAAGGGGGCTCTTCCCTGAGCTCTCCATGAGCGATGTCTGCTCAAGACTGTCATCCTCAGCACTGCCATCAGGGTCTCGGAGTAGCCGGGACCGCACAGAGGCCACTTCCGTCAAGAGTTCTGTTTTGGCAACAGCTGCAGGAAGAGGAAAGTGACTTGGAAAAATTCCAGCCTTCATCTTTGGTTCAACAGGGCTGCTTTCCAGAGAGTCACGGCAAGGGGATTCTTTCAGAGGACTTGGCTCCAGAGAATCAGGGGTTTTGTGTGAAGAGTTATCTTCTAGCACAGGGCTGGCTTCCAGAGAGTCTTTGTGGCTCACTGCTAATGAGTCATCAGCCACAGCGCTGAGGACTTCGCTATCTCGGCTAGGGAGTGCAAGTTCTAACCCTTGGGGACTTCTAATGACTCCCTGAGGTTTTGATTCAGTTCCTGTATCTGTCTTTACAGAAGCCTCAGGCAGCGGCAAGGCCTTTGTCTCGTCTGAGGTGGCTGTGGATTCTTGAACCTCACTATCAGTTTGTGTCTTGTGGGCTGAACTACCAAAGGTACGTTGACCTTCATCACAGGCTGCCTCCTCAGTCAGTCCTGTAGGTGTCTCTTTAGCTAATGCTACACTACAGCTGCCTGTGCAATCATCTTGTCTTTTAGGGCTTGTGTCTTTGGGAGAGCCTAGAGTGGCCTCTTTCTGAAAACTCTCAGTAGAGGTCTCTGAGTCCTCAGTGACTGTGGCACCTCGCTCTTCAGAGCCACCAGTAATGTCTTTGGTCGTGGGATGCTCTTTTTCTGAACGAATTTCTGTGGTGGTTTCTGTCTTGGTGCTTTCCTTTGTTTCCCCAGTTTGCTCCTCACTTTTCTTTGGTGAGAAAGAAAGGCTTTCTGGGCTCGTCTCAGGGGTCTCTGCTAGGCCTTCATGCTTATAGCTTTCTTCTGAACTAATCTGAGGGGTCCCCTCCATCAGGCTGCCACACGGAGAGCCGGCTACCCCCTCATTCTTTAGGCTTTCAGAACTGCCATCTAAAGCACCGCTTTGTAAAGACAGAGCTGGAAGGAACTCATCTTTCATGTAGTCGAGTGGAAATGTTGTGTTGAAAGGACTAGTGAGTACTTGGTCTAAGTGAAGCTGTGCCTTTTCTGTCTCCTCACTCAGGCGGAATTGTTGGTATTTGTCATTGTCTTCCAACTCTTGCTTAATGACCTCAGAGAAGTCAGTGGAGGTTTTCCTATCTGGGCTGATCTGTAGATCCATGTCTCCCTGCTCATCAGCCATCTTTTCTTTGGGCACTTCGCTCTCTCTGTGGCTTTCTTCTTCAGGCACTGACTGAACAGGTTCAGGTATTTTGTGGCTGAGAACTTTCTCCTTTCCTCCAGCTGCATCTTCTTTCTTAACTCCTATGGAGGAAACACGAACTCCTCTTTTGGATTCTGCTGTGCCCGTTACCGGGAGTCTCTGGCCTCGTTTGATTGTCTGATTCTCTGTTTTCTGAGCTTCTCTCTGGGTTAGTATCGGCCCCTTTTCTTTTTCTACCCGAACTTTACCTTTCTCTTGTGGCTGCTTTTGTTTTGCTGATTTGTGCTCAAAGAGTCCAGTTTTATGTTTAGAAGGGTCCTGACCTGACTGGAAAGCCTTCATCAGCTCCCGAACAGACATGGTTTCCTCAATCCTCTCTGTTTTTGAAGTGGGGGATACAGGTGGTTGCTTTTCTGTTTTGCCAGAAGGTGACACAGGCAGGTGCTTCTCAGTTTTCCCAGCTGTTGATACAGGTTGGTGCTTGTCCGTTCTTCCGGAGGGTGAAACAGGCAAGCGTTTTTCTGTTCTCCCAGGCGATACTGGCGGGTGTTTTTCTGTCCTCCCGGAGGGCGATACAGGTGGACGTTTGTCTGTTTTGCCTGAAGGCGAAACAGGTGGGTGTCTTTCTGTTTTTGTAGATGACACAGGAGAGTGCCTTTCAGTTTTTGTCGAGGGTGATACAGGTGAGTGTTTCTCAGTTTTACTCGATGATGACGCAGGTGAATGTCTTTCCGTTTTTGCAGAGGGTGACACAGGTGAGTGTTTCTCAGTTTTACTTGATGGTGATACTGGAGGGTGCCTTTCAGTTTTTGCGGAAGAGGAAAGAGTAGAGTGTCTTTCTGTTTTAGGGGAGGGAGACCCTGGCGCATGTCTCTCTGACTTCAGAGAGGGTGACGCAGCTGGATGTGGCCTGTGGGTGGTCTTTTTTGGCACGTCCTCCTTGCCTTTGACTCTGATGGGCAACTTGCTTCGACCTTTCTGTTCATCTTCCACTCGCTTCTGAAGGGCCTTTACTTTGTCCTTTATGGAACCAATGGGAGTTTCTTCTATCAAAGGAGATGTGGCCTTGACAGTGGGAAGGGGTTCAGGGGCTAAACCTGGGTCTTCACCTAATGACTCTTCTGAACTACCTTTTTTAAGTTCAGCTTTCTCTGCACTAGCTTGTAAACCTTCCTCTTTTTGTTTCTGCTTTTCTTTTAATTTCCTTCTTACTGGCTTCTTTATTCCCAAGCTTGGTTTGTGCTGTTTCTGTGTACTCTGTGTCTCATCTGGGGGTATGTCTTTCCCTTCCTTTTCAGAGCTCCTGCCAACAGCCAGAGCCTCACATTTCTTCCCTGCCTTATCTTGAACTGTCTGCAGCTGCTCTTTGGGAAGAGGCACACAGGTATTCAGATCATCAGTAAGGTAGTTCACTAGCCCAGTTGAGTCTTTCTCTACTTTTCCTTTGATCTCTTTATCTATTCTAACTTCTACACATGGATATTCAGTGATTTCTAAAGGTGCTTTTTGCCTAGCCTCTTCTATTTCCTCATCACTGACAATAACCCATTCCTCTTCAACTAATCCTCTCTCAGACCGAGAGCTCTGCACACTGCTTTCATCTCTTGTGCAGGTTCCACTTCTCAGGATTTCATTCACTTTCTCTAAGTCCTCTTTAACTCTTTCAACGATTTCAAAAGGCTCTCCTGGCTCTTCCTCAGCAGCCTTCACCAGCTCCTTCACTTTAATAGAACCTGCCTTATCAGACACATCTGTGGTCAAGATGGCGGTCATTTTGATCAAATCTTGTTTCATCTCAGAAACTTCAGAGAGCAAGTCCGGACTTGCTAGGACAGGAACTTCATTAACCAGGTGACTTTTCAGGACAGATGTTTCTGTAGATTCTGTCTCATCATCTTTGATGTGAATGAAAAACATTGAAAGTAAAATGGAAATCAAAAAAGATATTGGCAAATGTAATCAGGACTGAAACGACACAGCGTCTTTTCCTGTGGTGGTGGTGGTGGGAGGGGCAACAAAATGGGCTGGGAATGGTAGATCCACAAGGCCTCAGGGTACAAGAGCAAAGCAAGGCTAACGAAAAAAAAAACAACTGAAAAGGAAAAATGAGCAGGAAATAACTTGCTTAATTTTTCTCACTTGTAGCACATCCACACATACAACAAAGCTAAAACAAGACGCACATACACACACAAAAAAACACTACATATCAAAACAAAGAACGCAGTGAAATTACACAGAGGTATCTCAAGATTGTTCAGATGTTACAGATCAATGTTGAAAAAAAAAAGAAAACCAACCATGAGGAAAAAATAAGAAAAAAAGCATTAGAAATTGCAGAAAGTTGATTTCCTCTAGGAGAAAGCCAGTAGTAGCAAGCTCAGAATAACATCTAATGATGTATATACATTTTTAATCATATAAAAGTCTGAAATTCAGTATGTTTAGTTCTACCAATATACAAAGACTATATAAAATACATCTGAATCAGCTGCAAACCGGCATTTCATCTAAGGGAAATTCACACCTAACAATGAAACAAACAGTCTGGTGCTACGAGGCATGGTCCTTTCCTTGGAGCAACCTCCTTGTTTAGACACAGAATGGACAGACCAAGGAGGGAAATAAAGGAAAGGAAAGAAAAACAACAGAAACAACAATTGTGATTAAACTTATAAGTGAGTCCAAAGTTAAAATGTGATGCATGGCAACCCAAGTCAGAGACAGTCACACGGGACACACACACAGTTTATGTAAGCCAAGTTATTTCCATGCAAAGCAAAGGTGGAGTAAAACGGCTGGGAGAGGCGGCCTTGCTGAAACGTATGGGCAGGAGGATGGCGGGAATTTAGAACAGATATGTAAAACATTACTGTGGCGAAGTGTACTTATTTCCCTATGAGTCCATGCATAAGCTGCTGAAGGTGGTATATTGAGGCTTAGGTTGTGGGGGCTTACACCCATTAAGGTTAAGGAAGAAAACTCAGTAAACTCTTCTAAAATGTACTGATAAAAAGACTTCAGGTAAGAGTCCCTTCCACAGAGCACTTCTTTAGAGATTAGTTTATACCTAGATGAAGATTATTTAATGATTATCTTTAAATCAAAAGCAAACTTGAGTCTGTATTTAAAACTTCTGAAACACTCAAAACACCTAGAAATCCTTCAGGAAAATCCATGGCATCATAGCAACATGGTAACATTTTTTTTTCTTTTTTTTTTAACAACTGAGCCATATGGATGAATTAATTTTTAATTCTTACTAGTTTGTATCAGGAGAGCAAAGTAAGAGGCCATTTAAATAAATGGAGTAGTTCTGAAGAAGAAAGTGGGAGAATAAAGTAAAATCACTTAAAAAAAGGAATCAGTGAGGGCAATGTGATATGTCATATAAACAAAAGTGCCTTCTCTTGGGAGAATCTGTATTTGTTGAGAAGATACAGTATGTGAATTTACACATATAAATTTATTAAAATAATTTATACCAATACAAATTTGTTCAATTATATAAACCAATGAAAACATCCAGAATCTCAAACATTCTAGATCTGAATAATGCTTTAACATGAGGGTAAGCCTCATTCAAAGCAACTTCCATAACTTAGTAGTAAATTACATTGTCCTAGGACTTTAAAAAAGCCCTCAGATCATTGTGTAGGGCCACATGAGCATATTAAACATGGTTCTAAGTTTTCTCATTTTGGGAATATACTGTGAAATACAGCAAATCAAAATAAACTCTGAAATAAAGTTTATTGATATTCAATAAACTTTAAAAATCAGATTTTTAAAAAGCATTTGGGGCACAAAAGCAGAAATCTGTAAAATTCAACTGGAGTTTCCACACAAGAAGCCAGAGAGTCACTAGAAATAGTCCAACAAACTAAAATCTTAATTGGATATTACAAACCTGAAATGAGTTCTAAGATAGCTCTTTTAAGGTCTGTCAAAACCAGTTCTCTCTCTACTAGATCAGGTTTGGGATTTGCATCATTATTTAAAATTAACCCTATAATAACATGCTGTTGTGATTAGTAATTTTATCCAGGGGGTTTTAATTTTGCATTCTTGGCTCTTCACTTTTGTTTATTTTTGTTTTGTGGTTTTTTTTCAGAAAGTTTTCACAGAAGTCTGTTAGACCTCAGCTCTAAAGACATTGGTTACACTTCACCACAGTAAAAAGTGCAAAAGAGTGATGGGGGAGGGGGCAGGCATTGGATGGGGTTAGCTTCAGCTAAGAACTATTAGACAGTATCACTTTTGCAGGTGTATCCTACAAAAATAATGAGCTCTCTACAGAAGTCACTATTGCATTACATAAAAAGTGATACTGTCATGTCAGTGCTTAAAAAATGATGAGATGACAGTGTTTTGCTAACAAATGGACAAAACGGTAGGGTGGGTTTCTAAACAAGCATAACAGCAATACCAGGGTTAACAAGAATGTCAAAAGAAAGTGAATGCTTAGATGAATAATCATTGCATTTTACTGCTAATTAGCTCGCAAATTAGGTATATTTGTAATTTAACTGGCCAAGCTGCTTTTATAAATATATTAATGATTAATAAGGATAATATAAAAATGTAATTACTATAGTGGTTAGTAATAGCAACTAGCTTGCATTTTAATTCATGCTTCTTTTTATGGTAGCCAGCTTTCAAACAAACTCAATTTTCTTTAAATTCTTACTTTTTTCTGATGTCATATCGATCTGAAAGAAAACATACATAAATTGAATGGTTACAAATACTGCCTTGGCTCATAGCCCCTGGTGTGCACAAAAAGCTCCTATTCATAATTATACATGTTGGGTGACACCATAGCTATAGGAAGGTCAGAGTAATTTGCTACATTTTTTCCTGAGAGTCTCCATGATTCTTATCCTGACTTTGAAAAAAACCTTCTGTTTTCTAGACACTACAGGTAGAAAGTCCTTTCTAGCATGTTAATCCTGGGAAGATATGACCCAGGCTGGTTTTGATGTTGGAATACATATTTAGGGAATACATCAGAAAAAGGGTGAAGTCAGTATTGAATAATAAGTATCCATTTAGTGGAGAAAAAGGAAAGGATGACAAACAGCAACACTAGGGTGATGTGTTCTACAGAAGTAGTTTCATTATCGTTAATAATAAGCCAGCATTCCAGATCCTGAAAAGAATATGAACTGGATCTATTGCCCTAAATAGTTCCAGAAAGTATTCAGTAGGAAAATTATCTAAGAGAAAAAAGTGATTTGTGAACATGGCAAAATTGGCTTCCCTATCATTTTTAACAGCTGTAGTGGTAGGGTCACTGAGTACAGGAAGGAAATGGAGTATGTGAAGCAAAGAGTGACTGTGCAGTTGAGGGAAAGAATGACTTCAGTCTTAAGTTGATTGTGTATATGGCTATGTGCGGCAGGACAGTGCTTCTATAGTCACCTCTCTCACCCTGCTCCATTGCAAGGTATCAGAAAAAAAACGAATCCGGGGCATCTTCTGAACTGATAAGGGCTTACATTTTAAGCTGGTGGGTATAAGGGTATTTATTATATTTTTTATTTTGAATGCATTGGAATAACATTTAAAAAAAGAAAACTAGTATATTTGAAAACATTTACATATAACTAATAACATATGCATCTGTCTATCTTAGAAACATATTATTTTAAGTTTTCCAATTATGTTTTTCATTTCTATTATAATATTTGGGCATTTTCAGATCTTTATAACGGAGACAAACACACATTTGCTTTAAATATTGAAGCAGGTTTAATTCATACAGCTATTTATTCAAGGTAACCTCTCTAAGACTTGCTTTCTTCATCAATAATGTAGTATTTAATAACAAACACCTCATAGGTGTTTGTGAGAGATCGACATTGATGAGGCGTGTGCAACACTTAGTAAAGATCCCACTTTATAAGAAATTATTATTATTAGCATAGTTCTGCATTATGATATAGTCTAAGGAATCAGCTATATGCTTCTTAAAGTTTTTTGGTCTCAGTGTTTATCAAACTCTTTGGTCTTAGGGCCCCTTTACACTCCCAAAAATTACTGAGGAGCCTGAAAAACTTCCGATGGTGTGTGATATGTATAAATAGATATCCATATTACAAATGAAGGCTGAGAAAATGCTAGAACCTAAGAGTATGCAAGCATACATTCCATTAATTGCCAGAGTGGCAATATCATCACATGTAGTATAGCCTCTGGGAGACTCCTTTATAGTTTGTGAGGATATAGAAGTTTAAAAGGCAAATAATGTCTTAGTACATTTTTAATGTACTAAGACATTTAATTAAAAATTAAGACATTAATAATGTCTTAGTACAAAAAGAGTTTCAACCACTAGATGTCTTCTGACTAAGAACCCCTGAGATAATGGTTTAGCTCTTAGCAGTTGGTGGAAAAATATAGTATTGCATAGCGACATGGCAACAATTTACAGGGAAACTTTACTATTCCCTTAAGTTGCTCCACAAGATGAGAAAACAGAGGCTTAGAGAGGTTAAGTAAAATTGTGCCCCTTTAATTACTAAGAAGAACCGCCTACCCCGTCTAAGAACACAGGTTAACTATGTGCTCTTATTAGTGGTTACAGCAATGACACAGCCGATAACAAGTGACACTGTCATAAAATTACCTCTTCCTCCTGTTCTTGATCTGACTCTGATTCCTTTCCGCCCCAAGATGCCATGCAAGATGGAAAAAAGAGAGAAGGAAGAGTAGAGAGTATTTAGAAGAAAAGGAAAGAGTAAATAAATACCCTTTCAACAAGCATCAACAGGCAAGCATACAGTCAACATACTCTTTTTTTATTACTAACAGTTTATAGAAGACAGGCAGAAAAGAAGATTGGCTTAAGTACAAAGTTTATAGATTCAAGAGACAAAAGAACCAACATTATAAATATACTAATTCCAGATACTAGGTCACCACGGCAGTCTCAAAGTTTGACCTTAAATGAACTGGATGGCATTTGTCTTTAGAAATAGTGATGATAATATCCCAATCATTACAGATATTGGTTGAAAATACTAAAAGCTACAAATAAGCATATGGTGGAAAATTTTCAATACACAGGCAATATTTAGAAGCATTATTCTAACAAAGAGCTACTAAATTCTTTCTTTTTTTTTTTTTTTAATAGAGACAAGGTCTTGCTATGTTGCTCAGGCTGGTCTTGAACTACTAGACTCAAGCAATCCTCCTGCCTTGGTCTCCCAAAGTGCTGGGATTACAGGTGTGGGCCATGGTGCCCAGCCAAGAGCTACTAAATACTAAGGTATATTTTCAATGTACAATGTCTGGGATTTTTTTCTTTTTGAGTTACAAATTAGAAAATTGTACTGGACTATCACAGCATTAATAGCTGTGTCTGATATGTCTTGACTTAGAAATAAAATGTAATAATGAAGTTAATGCTTTCTCTTAGAGCACACTGAAAGCTCACTGAAATCAGCCAAAGCTCAGTCATCTTTCTTTAACACTCAGGTGGCTTGCCCGCAGCAGTACATATTTCTTTGTCGTTCTTATTGGCATACTGCCTCCACTGACTCACTACTAATCAGCAATACAAACCCCAAAATACATTCTGCACCATCAAAATACAATGAAATTATGCTCATTTGGGTTGATATACCCATTTCTATATTTTAATTCTTGGAATAACATGTATATTTAAATATACAAATAATATTTTATTTTATTCATTTAATAAAAATTTACAATGTCAAACCTAATGCTATGAGCTTTTCTCTAGATGGCTGATCTCTATTTACAAGAATAATTCATTAAGCAAATATAAAATTTAACAACTGTGGTGGGGAAAAAGAAGTATAGGACTTTTTTGTTTTGTGATGTCAAGATTTAGGATTTTAAATATATTCCTACTTCCCCTCCAGGTCTCAGCAGTCACCACTCATCACCCTTCCCAACCTGTTATATAGACACTGACAACTTCTGCATCCACCTATAGATTGCCATGTGAGAGCTTCCTATTCAAAAGAAATATTGGTTAAAAAAATTTAAAAGAATGAAACATAAATTATCCACAACATTTAATTGATTTAGTTGTCTTCTTTGATTTCATCAGAGTATTCGAGGAATTACGTGAGGGGGAGAGATTTCAAAAGAAAGTAATTCCTGTAGGTAGACTTGGGGTCAGAAATTAATGTATTTCTCCTTTTCAACAATGTTTTAAATCTACTCAAAACATGGCGATATGTTTTTTACTAATCAACTATTTCAACTATTTTTTATTTTAACCAACAATTTACACAAGTTATGTTGCCTAAGCTGCCCTTGAAGTCCTGGGCTCAAGTGATCCTCTCACCCCAGCCTCCAGAGTAGCTGGGACTACAGGTGTGCACCATCACACCAGTTTATATGCTCCTAAAATATGATAAGTTCGAAGATTAATAGTTAATTACTTAGAAAAAATAAAATATCACGGGGCAGTTCTGAATTTAATAATATGTAAGCCACCTGTGAATTGGTAGTAAACAGAAGGTGATGAACTCTAATATTTTCATAGGGCCAAATGCACGAGTATGGTCGCAGGAAAGCACATGAAAACAATAATGAAGAAAAGCCAATTAGTTTTAAAAATTTCTTCAAAAAGTTAAATCTGAAGCCAAATTTTCTTACTTCCATGCCCAATGTGTATTAATAGAATTTTTGCATCAAAGTGCATTTAACATGAAATCAGGTGGCACTACGTTTTTTCTTAAGTGGAAATCGTAAATCTGACAGAGAATCAAACGTGATTATTACACATGCTTTCAATCAGTCTTTGTTGGTATTCATTTTATTAGGTCAGTGCAAAAGCAATTGCTGTTTTTGCCATTACTTTTGCACTGACCTAAAACAAGATTTAAAAATCAATTCCTACTCTACCTGAATTGCACTATAGCAGATTTTACGATACCTTTGTATAAATCGGCAAAGTGATGTTTAAGTTGCAAATAGCTTGATGCACCAGGCCTCTCGTGGATTTTGGCTCCTTCATAAATGATAGTCGTCCGCAAGGTTCCTGAGTCGTATCGCGTACCTTGAACAAGAAAGACATACATGCTTCACCCACATTTGATTTGCAGTATTTACTTTAACTAGATGATGCTTGAAAGGGAAAAGTAAAATTCATTTGTTACTGCTAGGTAAGAACTCAAAGGATTTCCTTTCTCTTTTCCTATTACCATTTGGAAAGCCTTTTTAAAAATCATTCAGCTTTCTTTTTTAGTCTTATTTAAGTATGGTAGACAAAAATTGCATATATTTAAGGTGTACAATGTGATGATTTGATATATGTATACATTGTGAAATGATTAGCGTATCAAATTAATTAACATATCAATCACCTCATCCCCCTTTTTTGTGGTGAGAACACTTGAGATCTCTTAGCAAATTTCAAGTATATAATACATTACATACAATTAACTATAGTTTAATGCTGTATATTAGATCTTCAGAACTTACTCAGCTTTTAAAATAATTATGGTAAAATATACATAACATACAGTTTACCATTTTTACTATTTTGAGGTAGAAAATTCAGTGGCATTAAGCACATTCACAAAGTTGTATAATCATTACTTCTATCCAGAATGTTTTTCATCCTATGCCGAAACTGTCCCCATTGAACAATAGCTCCCCATTGCCCTCTTGCCCAGCCCCTAATAACCTCTATTCTACTTTCTGTCTCTATACGTTTGCCTATTCTAGGAACATGTAGAAATGGAGGAACCATATAGTATTTGTGTCTGGCTTATTTTACTCAGCGTAATGTTTTCCAAGTTCATTCATATTGCATCATGTGTCAGAATTTCATTCCTTTTTTAAAAAATTGTGATAAATATATGTAACATAAAACGTATCATTTTAATCATAAAAATGATTAAACCTAAAAAGGTGTCTAGTTTGGTGGCATTAAGTACATTCACATTGTTGTATAATCATCACTACCTTCCATCTTTAGAACTTGTTAATCTTCCTAACTGAAATTCTGTATCTATTAAACAATAATTCCCCATTCTTCACTTCTCCTGTCCCTAGCAACCACTCTTCTACTTTCTATCTTTATTTCACTTCGAGGAGAGGTCAAAAAAATAAATAAAAACAAATGCTTTCTCTCTTTATGAATTTGACTACCCTAGGTACCTCATATAAGTGAAACCATACAATATTTGTCCTTTTGTGTCTAGCTTATTTCATTTACCATATTGCAGCATAAACTAGAATTTCCTTCCTTTTAAAGGCTGAATAGTATTCCATTGCATGTGTATACCGCATTTTGTTTGTGGACCTTTGGACTTTTGGGTTGTTTCCATTTTGGCTACCATGGCTAATGCTGCTAAGAACATTGGTGTGCAAGTAATTGAGTCTCTACTTTAAATTCTTGTGGGTGTACATCGAGAAGTAAATTGCTGAATCATATACTAATTTTATGTTTAACTTTTTGAGGAAAAACCATAGTGTTTTCCAAAGTCGCTGCACTATTTTGCATTTCCACCAGCAATGCATTAGGGCCCCAATTCGTCCACATCCTTCCCAACATTTGTTTATTTTCTGTTTGTTTGTTGTAATAATAGCCATCCTAATGGGTATGGAGTGGTATCTCTTCACAGTTTTGATTTGCATTTCCCTACGCTGTTGAACATCTCTTCATATGCTTATTGACCATCTGTGTATCTTCTTTGGAGAAATGTCTACTGAAGCACTTCCCTCATTTTGTATTGGGTTGTTTGTAGAATGATTCTGCACACCAATGATGTCAAACATTAGCTTAATTATATAGCTGTCTATGTTAAATGGATCCATTACCTCTGAGCAGTTACTGCTTAATGTGGTGATCTGTAAGAATCTATCATCAGTCAGGCAAAACAATTGAACCAGAAATGGCACAATGAAAGAGACTCAGCAGAGATCTTGGAAAAACTTAATAAGAGGTTTGCAGACACATGTTTGGAAAAATAATAAGTGGTTAAAATAAAAAGAGTCATTGCTGATGAACAGTTGGAAATGAGTAGGTGAAGTAGGATTGGAAAAAAAACGACAGAAGCCAGCCTATACCTAAGAGGATTGAGCGTTAGGACCTCTGGATTAGTGAAATAAATTGTGAGAAACAAGAAGAAAAATGAGCTTGGAAAATAATGCAGAGTAGAATTATTACCTCCTTTTTATTTCCTGAATCTCTTATTCCTTCATATGTGGTCCCTTTTAGATTGGAATCTAAAATGAAACTTGCATATATCACCTCAAATCCCTAACTTGGTCTCTGTTTAGAGACAACAAACACCTGGTGCACACAAATGTCTCCATGCTGTTTATTGAATGAATTTATGAAAATATATCAAGTCTATAGCTCTATTGCAGATAATTTACTAGCTTAAGTGAGATGCTGGGTCTTTTGAGAGATTTTATTACAAAAAGTTGCCACTTAGAACTCTTTTGATCTCCACACTTGTGAAGTTCACGTGTATTTTTAAATCTAAGCATAAATATTTAAAAGTTATAATAGATAAATAAGCTTTCCTTCAAATTTGGAAAATACCGGTCACTGTGCCTAATTAATGAGTTGGCTATTATTTGTCCTGTTCTCATCCTTAAATATAGTCTATAAAAATTCAGGTTGACTTTGAACCTCAAAAATAAAAATGATTTGTTTCCCAGGGCTGTAAAACGTTACAAATATGGTTAAAAAGAAAACTCTGAAGATGACTGAAAAGCGAAAATTTTCTATTACTAAAGGAAGTCAAATTCTGCCTTGATCTTGAAAAAAATGCATCACAAAATTCCATGTATATATTACCTTGACAAATAGAGGAAGTCTATTTTCTTTGAAGGCAAAAAAACTGAATATATGATGCTGGCCACTTTTAGTTAATGGTACCAAGTTGCCGAAACAATCAACGTAGATGGGTTTTCCTTCTAACACCTGAGTGAAAACAGAGAGAAATAACAATAAAGTAGCTGCAATTATACTTGTTGTTTACACAAAGAAGTGGTAGTACTACTTGGAACTTCAAATTCTTATAATACACATACAACCATCTTTAAATTGACAACTGACATTCTGTCTATCTGTGACACAGCATGTCCAGCACTCTTTCTTCTTACTAGTAATGGGAATCTTTAATGCATGGTGACATTTAATGTTCTCATTCCAAAAAGTGTATCCCATTATTCCACAACCCCAAAATACATTTAAATCCTAAATTTAAACTTATGCTTGGGTAATTTTTTTTTTTTTTTGAGACGGAGTCTCACTCTGTTGCCCAGGCTGGAGTGCAGTGGTGCGATCTTGGCTCACTGCAACCTCCGCCTCCCGGGTTCAAGCAATTCTCCTGCCTCTGCCTCCTGAGTAGCTGGGATTACAGGCATCTGCCACCACGCCCAGCTAATTTTGTATTTTTAGTAGAGATAGGGTTTTGCCATGTTGGCCAGGTTGGTCTCGAACTGGTGACCTCAGATGATCCACCCACCTCGGCCTCCCAAAGTGCTGGGAATACAGGCGTGAACCACCACACCTGGCCTGCTTGGGTAACTTTTGACATCACAATGAGTCAGGTTACTGGACTTCAACACCCAAAGACCTACACTGATGGAAAATTCTGAAATAAGAAAAAGTAATGTAGAAAAGCACTAGACACCCTGCTTCAACATTTATGCAAAAAGATATACTTCCCAGACTGTTTTAGTTACTATTAAAAAATAAGGACAACAAGGAAAGCTAAAAACATCTAAAGTACTACAGTCACTTACATACTTTGAGTTTATCAATAACTCATAATTTTTCCTCAAATAATCTTTAAAGGAATCATCTTACCTTCTCACATGCACAGATCATTCCTATTGAATAGGTCCAAAATGGCTAAAAATGGCAGATTTTGGATGTTGACCTTCTAACTGACCAAAATGCGAACTTGTCTTTCACTTTTTAATTATTCTATTTATTAAATGATATTTGAAATGTAATCTATTAATGCAGGTATAACAACATGGCATAAATTATTATTATTATTTTTGGTACAGTACCTCCACATCCCTGCTTCTGGCCACCTCAGCAAAATTTTCTTGTTGTTCAAGGGTCTTATCCACTTTATCATCAGTCATGCAGAAACACCTCAACCTGGCTTCAATGGGGTCATGTGATTTGGCAAACACTACAAATTTGGCCATATAAGGTACGCAGATAATTTCTCTGTATACTTGTGATGCAAAAGTAACGGATTCCTGGATCTGTCGACAATCTATCAGCCAGAACCTATTAAAATAAATAAAGTCAGTTATCTAAAGTTCAAAGTATACCATGTGAAAAATAAAATCAGTTCCTTCAATATGATCAAAGTAGTCAACAAATGCTTCTTGGAAAAAAGGAAGTGAGAGAGGGAGATAATGAGAGAAGGCCAAAGGAAAGAAATAGCAAGACAGGAACAAAAGGAAAGGTAGGAGGAAAGAAGGGAAAGCAGAAGGGAGTGAAGAGAAGAGAGAAAGATATCAGGTTTAAGATCAACTATTAAATACTGTATTTCTAATTTTCTTTTTTGGAAACTCTTCTGAATATTCAGTTTTCTGAACTATATATTTAGTGTTTTGGAATCCTTTAGTGGAGTGAACTCAATAGCAGACATAAGACAAGGATCTCACTGCATAGTTTTCTATTTTCCTTGATCCCCCCTCCCTAGCTGTCATTTCATTTCCTGAAACTCTTTTCAACAAAATCTACCCAGCTTTTCCTCCCCTCGTTATTCTTTTCCATGGAACTCTAATCACCAAAGTGGAATCAACCCAACCATTTTAAAAAACCTGCTCCAGAACTCCTAAGTATTGCTGAATATAATTCATAGAAGAAATTATTGGCTATAATGACTTTATGATTTCCAGCCTCAACTAAGTCTGTGACATTGACTGGCAATTTTTTGTTCACTATGGTAACGTTACTAAATCTTATGACACTCTTTAAGCTTCATCCCTCACCACAGGCCCTAAGAGAGCTAACTTCACAAAGAAAGTCGAGGTCATTAGATGGAAATATTTTCATTTTGTTATTTTATACTTCCAAAGGGTTTGTTTTTTTTGTTTGTTTTTCTTTTTTTTTTTTTTGAGACGTTGTCTCGCTCTGTCGCCCAGGCTGGAGTGCAGTGATTTATCACTTCTTAATCTACCCTGTAAGACCTTTTATAAAGTGTTGGCAACCAACAGTCCTAGATTTTGTTTGTTTGTTTTTTGTTTGTTTGTTTTTTGCTTTGTTTTGTTTTTGAGACAACGTCTCTGTCGCCCAGGCTGGAGTGCAGTGACGCAATCACGGCTCACTGCAGCCTCGACCTCTCTGGGCTCAAGAGATCCTCCCGCCTCAACCTCCCTGGTTCCTAGGACTACAGGTGTGTGCCACCATGTCCAGCTAATTTTTGTATCTTTTTTGTGAGAGACAGGGTTTCACCATGTTGCCCAAGCTAGTCTTGAACTCCTGGGCTCAAGCAATCCACCTGTCTTGGCCTCCCAAAGTGCTGGGATTACAGGCATGAGCCACCAGGCCCAGCCTCAAGTATTATTTTTGAATTATAGACTACATGGATAATTGTTGCTATCCCCCACTACACCTTCTCATTCTATCTTTGCATCTTTGCTCATGTTATTCTCTTTTTCACTTTTATCTGCCTATTAGGTTCCAACACATGTCTCGAGTCACCTCTTCTCAGATACCCTCTCTAGCTATCCCAATTCGAACACCCTTCTCTCATTCTTTTAGTCCCTCTGGTCTATATCTCTTATTCAGAACATGTCATCTTCTGGATTACAGTATAGATGCTAAATTGGCAAAACACATTGAAACACAGAACTGCGGACTCAATAGTTGAGCCTCTGGGTGGCTGGAACTATAAACATGTGCCACCACACCCAACTATTGCTATGCCATTACTTAACTATTCATGCACTTTTATGTTTTCTCCTCCACCCCAAATAGAAATGTACGTTTTAATTACTCTCAACTTCAGTTTTCTCATCTGTAAAATGGACATAATGTCTCTTGCCCTACTTAAGTCACAAAGTTGTAATGTCAAGTTAAAGAGAGGTAACAATGCTTAGCAATCAATTAAAGATCAAAGGAATGGGAGCTAACTTTAATCAATTGAGTTATTGTGTGCATAAGCAATAAAACTAGATAGCTTCATCGTTTTAAAGATATGTAATACATAAATAAGAAATGTATATAAGAGCCACTGAAGCCTCTAAGCCTTTTAGACAAACCACGGTGAGATTTGTGCTGTTATCATTCTGTTGGAAAAGTAGTTCAGGCTATTTTGCTGACAACAGGAAATTATCATTCCTAAGGACTTTGGAAGTGGAAAAAGCAGCAGCTGCTACTGACTAAGTCAGAATCATACAGGCAAAGCAGACAATCGCTCCTTTTCCTTAGATTTTAATCGGATTGGTAATACTTTGTTACTGTATTATCACTATTCCACTTGCTGACAGATCTAGTTTAAAATATAAAAGCAAAGGCAGACCATATTTAAAATCCAATGAAAAAATAACTTTTAAACAATAAAGAAACAAAATAAAACAAAGGGCAGTTTTTTTGGAGGGTAACATATCATAGTGGGCTTTTCTGTGCTATATAACGATACCTGGCAGACACGTTTGTTGTAAAGGAAACACATTCATTGACAAATGTTAATGGCGTAGTTCCTGTAATATCTTCCCACTGGGCAGGGGTGGTTCCACCTGAAATAATATGATTGTTGAAAAAAATCAGGCAAAACTCCAGACTCTAGATTCTAAAATAAAGTCTTTGTGGTTCTGTGTTCACAAGCCAAATCCCACCCCTCAAAATGGCACATTGAAAACAAAATGACTAAAATCTACATGCTAAAAAATGACACACTGAAAACAAACAGCAGACTACCACTCAAGAAACTAAGTTTTAGGGTAGTTATTTGAATAAGTGTTTATTAAGCCTTCTGTTCTCTTCCTGACATTCTGAAGCTTTTATTATAATTGCAAGGCTCTGAAGATAATTTTGAATTGTATACAGCTGATTATTTTTAAATATCCTTTGACCACCTAAGGAGCTGAACAGTTTGTTAAAACAGTGAACAATCGGCCGGGCGCGGTGACTCATGCCTGTAATCCCAGCACTTTGGGAGGCTGAGGTGGGCGGGTCACAAGGTCAGGAGATCAAGACCATCCTGGCTAACACGGTGAAACCCCATCTCTACTAAAAATACAAAAAATTAGCCGGGCATAGTGGTGGGCACCTGTAGTCCCAGCTACTAGGGAGGCTGAGGCAGGAGAATGGCGTGAACCCAGGAGGTGGAGCTTGCAGTGAGCCGAGATTGTGCCACTGCACTCCAGCCTGGGCGACAGAGCAAGACTCCGTCTCAAAAAAAAAAAAAAAAAAAAAAAAGTGAACAATCTAAATATTCTTTTGTTCTTAAACTTCATATTTTATGAAATTGTTTTCAAAAAAGTTCCTCTCGATGTGCAATAAAAGTTTAGCCAAAAAATGTTTGTGAAATAGTAAGAGCTCAATAAATATTGCAAGGTAAATGAAAAAATAAATGAATATCAAAGGATGGCCCCTGTACATTGAAAAACTACCATGAAGGCTAATGGTGACTACCTGTCTTTCATGTCTACTGAGAAATTAAGATCACATAGATAAGGACAAAATTTTAGTTCAAAGGGCTGTAGGAGGAATATATGTTTGAAATGAAGAAAAGTCTTGACTCTAAAGTTTCTTAAAGAAGAGAACAAGTTATCAAAGAAAGTTTATGGAAGTTTATTCTAGTAGGCCTTTAAAATACATACTCAGCATAACTACATGACACAGAAAAATACAAAGACTCAAATATCTAGGTATTTAAACAATTAATACATTAAATTATTTGTTAATTTTTAAAATAATTTTAATTAAATTTCAGAAATGTTTATGAGAAACCTGTCTAAAGACATTGTGCTGGAATAAATAGAGTAGATGGTGTTTAGGCCCCTAGAGTGTTTATTTAATCACTATAAGGGCAGAGCGTATCACAGATATTCTTCTGCCTCACCTATTTCACATCCATGACATTATATTGCACATTATAGAAGGTTAATCATATATCTACGGGGCTGGAATTATGGGAAAGATACCCAGAAATGATAGCAATAACCAAAAATGAGCAACTGGGAAAGAGATCATAAGTGAAGCATATGATTTCCCCCCACTCATTATTATTAAACTTATGGAATAATCTCGTGGTTCTCTATCATAACTACAAGAAACATACGAGTAAGAAGGGTGAATTAAAGAAAACAAAATAAAGGTGAACATTCTGCCAATATGAAAGAGAAATGAAAATAATAATTCTAACAATACAAAAACATCCAGGGATGATTACTGTTCCTACTAATAATAGTACTAATATTTACTGAATACCAACACCATGTAATTATTGATAGAGAAATTATCAGTTAAATTATTTAGCCCTAGAACAGATTATTCATGTGAATTTTTTTGCCTCTCACTATTTGTGATGGCATTGTTATGAAGAGACTACCAACGTTCTGGGAGTGTCTTTGGAGAGTTTGGTAGCTGTCTGAAAGCGACTACACAACCACAATTGAAAAGACCAAAAATCAGTTAATCACTGAAAACCTTTAAGTTGTTTTTCTAAAGTTAGTTCAATAGATCAATGATAAAGACATAACCAATTCCATAACATAACAGTTTGGTTTGAACTATTGGGTATAATTACTCAAGACAGTATTTTTTTTCCCAGCAGATTTAGTGATCTCTTCAATGAAGGCTTGAAGCCTGAACTTTGGAGACATATGGGTGTGGTTTTGAATCCCAACACCACCAAATATTTATAGTGCAAGTTATAGAACTTCTTTCAACCATGGTTTCCTTCTCAGCAACACGGGGTTAAAGTTTCCTCACAGGGTTACTGTGGAGATTAGAATGACAACGCATATAAACTATCTAACAGTTTGGCATACAGACTTCATTTAGTAAATAATAGTTGTTTCCTTTCACCTTTCATTTCCCTAGTTAATTAAAATGTATTCCCTGAATTAATGCATATGACCCTGCAGACATCTTATGACAAAGGTAATTTAATATTTACAACGATCTAAGTTTCTTTTTTCAGAACTCTCTACGAACACAGTCATATGTGACTCACCTGTTATGCTGCATAGTAATCTTAAGGTTGGTGCATCTCCCCCAAAACCATTCAACATGACATCACTTGAAGCTTTGGGGACAGGAATGGTCATGGTAATTGGTTTGTGGAATTTTCTTCTTCTAGGTTCCAAAGTGACTATAGGGCTGAAGGTAGCTTTGTTGCCTAGGATCTTCTTAACCAGCTCACTGTGCATAGGTTGAGCCTTTTCAAAGTAAAAACACACACATATATATTTGTGTATATATTTTAAAATAAAGAATGAATCATTATACTTAATTTCAAATTTCTTCCCCAAAGTATTTTTTATCTTACAAATAAGTTTGGTGGGCTTCAAATATGGCAATCATAAGTTCAGTATTATTACTAAGCACTCATAAAATTTTGTAAGATCCACGATCTCTGATGGCAGCTCTTGCTTACTAGGAATAATCTGATTCTTTAACAATTTATTTCTCATTTAAAAGCTAATTTCTTTTTTTTTTTTTTACAAGAAGAAAACATTTGTAGCTGGAGATTAATTTTGGTTAATTGTCCAAATATAAGTTGAATTTTTAAATAGATTAGTAACCAATAAATATGGATTTTGACTTTAGCTTTACCATTAATGCTACCTTCCTTTTTGGTGTGATTATAAAACAAAGGTAACAGTCCTTGACAAAGCTAATTTTTAATCATTAGAATACAATCCTGTTAGGATCATTTGCATCTAACATGGGCATACCTGCAGGCCTACGCGGATCCGCTTGGTGAGTGCCCCCTCTGGGAAGACGGCCTGCACCTGGGGCACCACTGTGCTGCTCAGTACACCTCCTTCTGGGCCAATCAGATTGCTGTCCTGTTTGATACGAGACACCACTGCAAAGTACTGTGGGAAGTCTCGGGTGATGATGCGGCAGATTCGTTTCTTTTCTAGGTCTTCTGGGCTATCCAGTACTAAGACAAGAAATGACCCACCTTCATTCACATAGCAAAGATTTCCTTCTAACAGCATTCTAGCCAACTCATTCGCTCGGTTAATAATGAACAGAAGTGCCAGCAAAACACATTTTTTTGAAACAACAGGACAATTTTAAAAAGCAAGGCTATCCTAACAACACCAGAAAACAAAAAATTGCAATATTTCAAGATCTGTCAGCATTTAGCTTGCATGTTTCCTTTCTTCTCAGTGACTTTCCAGGTCACTGAGAAAGATAAACATTTAGTTCTAGGTGCAGCATTGCAGGGCCACCTTTGAAATGAGAGGCATGAGGGCAAATATGGAATGAAATGAACGTGTTCTATTCCTGGTTCATGTGATGGAAAGGAAGTTGTTTCTGGGCTCCTTTTCTTTGCAAATTTCAAAGTTAGCTCAAATCCAAGTTATTGTGGTTTTAAGAAGTAACATAGCCCTTTGGGTTTTCAGGGGAATAATGCAGGAATAAAATCTATCTTGGAAGAGTAAGAGTCATGTTTATGAGTTTACTCCAGTGGAAGGGTTGTGTCTGAGGTACTCACTGTGGATATTAAAAAATCAGTGATTAGGAATTCAGGGTTTCAATATTCCCCTGATGCCATTAAATTTCCAAAAATAACATTTAACATCAAGAGGATGGGATCATGGGTTCTTTATAAATTGCATTAGTGTAGATATTCAGGGCAATACAAAAAAAATCAAACTAGTTTAAATTTAGAAAATGTGCACTATATAGATCACTGAATTTTAAGAGGTGATGGAAAGTTGTTCATTTTTAGAAATCATTTACAATTCATTATAGAGGCAGGAACAGCAACTACGTTTTTCTTGATTATTGGGCATAGCTAGATAGTAAAAGTAAAAAGTCCCAGGATCTGATTCCACATGATTGAAGACTGATGCACTGGCAAATACTAGCCTATATTTATTTTTAAAATTTCCAGACATACACAAATCTTTAACTTTCTAGTAATAGATTAATTAATCTATTAACTTTCTAGTAATAGATTAATTAATCTATTAACTTTCTAGTAATAGATTAATTAATCTATTAACTTTCTAGTAATAGATTAATTAATCTATTAACTTTCTAGTAATAGATTAATTAATCTATTAACTTTCTAGTAATAGATTAATTAATCTATTAACTTTCTAGTAATAGATTAATTAATCTATTAACCTTCTAGTAATAGATTAATTAATCTATTAACTTTCTAGTAATAGATTAATTAATCTATTAACTTTCTAGTAATAGATTAATTAATCTATTAACTTTCTAGTAATAGATTAATTAATCTATTAACTTTCTATTAATACCCATGTAAAAAGCTCATTTTTAAATAAATAAAGTTAAAGAGTGGGTCCCCATCCAAGGGCAAGATACCAATGCTCACTGGCAGTGTCATTGATAGGTAAATATCTCAGAGGAAAATATCCTAAACCTAAATGTCAGCAAAAGGAATGGTTCCAAGAAGTAGAAGCAGCTAAATATTGTAGGGAACAATTTTTATTAATAAAAACCCTGATTTTTTTCTTTGCTTAGAAGATATTGACTTAACATATCTAGAGGGCATAATTTCTTCCTCCATCCACCCCTTGGATAAGATAAGCCTGGCCTCTATTCTTATTCAAACCGTGGTAGGATGTAGAAAGAAATGGTAAAGAAGCGATGGTCAGGCTACTCTTTCCTATCCATAAGCCATATCTGAAACTAGTGCCAGAAGACTCAAGAACTTGATAAACAGCTATACTTGCTCTTGAGTGTCTAGCTGTATACAAAACTTGGTATGTTCCTGGCATGCAGGCAAAGAACTTGCCCTATTTGTGTAGTTACTTAAAGTTGAATGTGAATTCTACTATTAGGTCTAGGACCTTTTCTCTGTGCAAACTATGGAGACCTGAGGAAGAGCCGCTTTCCTCTTTTCATACTGAGATATTACAACCTTGTGCAGTCCAAGACAGAGTTGAGATTTACAGCAATTGAAGTTCTAATGGAAAACTAAGTTCCTAAACTAGATGTGTATGTATGTGTATGCAATTCAACCCTGGCTAACTCCCTGTTTGAATTATAGGTAGGAAATTGAATGAACTTAATTTTCCTACCCCCTTAATAATAGTTTAAAAATTATAGTATTCTATAACTTACTAATTATGGGTAGATGTAAGTTTTCCAACACAGTAGCTTAACACTTTTTATCAGTATCTTAAATATCTAATGTTTCAAGTTAGGCATTGTTTTAAATCATGGATTTATTATCCAGTATCAGTTCATTTCGTTATGAAGCAACAATATCTATTCTATCTCATTTTCGGCTCAAAAAAGTTTACACTAAAAATGGAAGCATGCTGCATCTCTTTAATGAGATGTTTGATATCTTCAAGGCTTTTATTTTCCTGAATGTAACAGGAGTAAAATTAAGCAAAAGTATTGTGCATTCCAACTCATCACTACAGGAGCAAAGCAGATTACCTGCTGTAGTAAAATACCACAAGGGACACACACACACACACACACACACACACACACATATACACACACCCCTAGGTCATAAGAAAGAAATGAATCATTTTCATGCTTCCAGTTTAGATTTCTTTTAAAACGCTTCATCTGAAAGTACCTTCATCCATGCCGTTAAGAATTTCATTCAATTCATCTTCAGTGTAGTCACAGAAATGCTCTTTCCAGCTGTCCCCATTCTCACTGCGCAGGACCACCAGTTCCCTTTCCTTTCCTCGAAGGGCCGCAAAGTGAGGGATCTCCACGATCACAGGCCTGACATAGCAATGCAGAACATTCAGTGTGGACAGGAGCTAACTAACAGCAAGACAAGCACCTCGACTCTGTTGCAAAGTGACCTGGAATTCTTCTTTTGCTGGGGACAGGGACATAGTGGGCCATCCCCTGGAGCCCACTGGCTAGCAGATGGTCACACAGTAGCACTCCACCTCAGGGGCACCAATCCTCAGGTACATGCTGCTACCTTAAGCCAAATAATGTTTCCCTGTGAGTGCATGTGACATTCTGGAACTTCTCCTTTGATAAATGTAAGTAGAACACATTTAACCAAAAGAAATGTACATGCATATCTATGATGTCTGCCAATCTCCTAAAACATTTTCGACAAGGTGCAAAATGACGAAATGGTTTAAGAGGAAAATGGCTCACACATTGCATAATTTGATGTGTCGTAAATGAGGAGATGTCAGAAAGTTGACTACTTGTGAACTAAAGAGCCATGCACTCGTGGTTTTTGCTTATATTTTCTTCATTCAAGGAAACAATAGGCATGTGTACACAGTGTGGCCCTAATTGAGCCCCTCAGCAGACAGCCCAATTGTGTCCAATGCCTATTATATTCAGGATCCGGAACATGCACTGCCCTATTATTTTTAGGTCACATTCGTTCTCAAAATATGTAGAGGGTTTTGATTTTTGGGTCCAGGTTGCTTTGATACAGACTCCAAATTCATCATAACAACATCATAACTAGCACATAGTACAACTAGGCAGATCTCATGCTTAAACGAAAATGAAGGTCACAGCACTTTAAGGGGAAAGATATAAAAACATCACTCAAAAATAAAAGTCACATACCACAAGGGTCAGAAATGGTCCACTAAAGATAGGTTATACAGAATTTAAATCATAGAAAGGGACATGTCATGGGCACAATGACAAAAAAGAGAAATCATATTGCAGAAGAAGGAGAAGAATGGGGGGCCAGCAGCCATCAATTTGTTTTAAGTCACTCCTACCCAAGGAATTTGGTTCCAGGAGGCCCCAGCTGAAGAATGCGGCTGACCAAACTTTCTCCCTCATTAAGTGGGGGAGGAGCCGTTGGCAGGTGAAGTTTACTGAGTACATCCAAAGCAGCAGTGAAAGAAAGAACATAGGTAAGCTTCAGGTATTGTCTTCCACAGAACCCCAGCGTCGCCAGCTGATCCACAGGGTGAACTTTGGTTTCACACTGCGTTTGGTTCTGCCCCCTCCATTGGTCACAAAGAGCAAGGAACCGAGACCCAGAGTGTACAATGGAGGCGCGTCTGTGCAAGGAGAGCACTTAGCTGTCCGGTCTGTCCCTAATTAGGTTCACCGCCAGGGCACTAGCCAAAAAGGGGGAAAAAATGCTCCACAAGAAAGACAAGCTGTTGGGAATATAATGAAAACTCTGCCCTGTACAGAGGCCAGATGTTTTCATGCATATTCCCCAACAGATCTGAAGATTATTAAAAAGCCTAAACTATCTGAGCACGAGGGGAACAGGGTCTGACACAGAATATGAAAAGAATCATTGGGGAATTACTCCAAACATAATGGCATTTTCTGATGCAACCCAGAACTTCACAGGCTCCTTGTAAAGCTCTGGTCTGTCTGACTGGAGGACATGAGAAGTGGTTGCTATAATTGGGAAATATAAACACACCCCTTTTCAGGTGTGAACATAATTTGGAGCAATCTGCTAATAGTTTGGTCCAAATTACAAAGCTTTAGAACATTTCCTGAGTTCTAAAGCAAGAAATCCTCTTCCCAATATGACATCGGCAAAGTAAAAGAGTTCACGATTATTAGGATTTTCTCCCAGTATTTCAAGCACCAAGACTTAAATACAATTGATTTGTTTCAAAATATTTTGAAACTTGTCCCCCTCCAAAACTTCATCCTTTTGTTAATTTCAGCTGTAGCTATTCATTTCTTGGCACAATGAAATGCCACTTAATATAACAGCAGCCGTACAAACAAACAGAAGAAAGAAGAAATGCTAAATTCTGCTCAAAATTGCCAAAACGAGCACGGTGGAAGCTAGTCTTGATGTATTTGTCTTAATATAAACTGTGACTAAATAGCCAATGTAATGATAAGGCTCAAGGTAGCAATTTTGATAGCTGAAAAAAAAATCACATTGATTAAATTTGTAGGTATTCTGTAAAGGCAACATTGCTTTCCAAAGTAAAGATAATGATTCTGTTTCATAACTGTATGAGAATTTACATTTATGCTTGGAACAGAGCAGAATTTTTTCTTTGTGACTTTACCACTTAATTCTCAGATGAGAAAATAATACCTACCATCGGCTAAAATACTGGTTATTCACATTGGGGGTCTGGCAGCTATTATTAACATCCAAAAAGAAGAAGTGGTATTCAACCTGAATGTTTAACTCATTAATGCCTTAAAATAAGAGGCGTGTAAGTGGAGTCAAGCATTGAGGTGCTACTTCCAATTTTAAAAATGTCATTGGTGCTGATCCTCTTTCAAAATGGTTTGACGTACCTTTTTCCATTCCATCCTAGTGATTTCATGTAGAGGACACAAGCTCATCGATGACTAAGTGGGAGGTTTATCAGAAACCCTTACCCAAGGAACTGAGCACCAGAAGGTCCAACTTCGATCAGGCGACTGGCCAGGCCTTCTCCTTCCACCATTGGAGGCATTGTTGCCAGTCTGTGGCGCTTGACCAGTCGGCAGGTGACTCGCGTTGGAGCAGTACATTTCCGAGGTGGAATAATGATTCGGAGCCCATTGTGTCTGCATCCTCGCATAGCACCACCTCGGGCATCCACCATAAAACTAACCAGGAAACTAAAAATTAAAATAGAAGATTAGATATGTTTTGAAATATTGGGGGCAGATGAACAAGCTTTGTCAAGTTGTTTTTCGTAATGCTTTGTCTCAAAATCTCTCTTTTTTATTTAAATGCATGGTGGTAAAATGCTTGTTTTTAAAAGTTATTTTACTTTATACCAATGCCTTTAATTCTGTTTTGTTGTTGTTCTAATTTTTATATTATTTTAATCTGTAAAGAATAATTCTAATTTTTGCTGACAATGGTGATGTTCAATATAAACTGTAAATTAAAAATAAGCCTAATTGATTTTGAAGGAAAATGGAATGAAATTACATAAAGAACAATTGACAAGTTTCCTTTTGTTATAAATGGAAAGACTTCTGCTTCCTTATGTGTACATCCTAAAAAATCTACATGTTGAAATAATACAAGGACAAAGCAGAGAGGAAAGACCAAATTGCAGTTTTTCTGCATCCTGTTCCAACATCATCTTACCCAGGATGTAGATTTTTAACTGATTATATTCTAAAGGAGGAGAAATGCAAAATAATTAAATCTTTTGAATTGAACTAATTTAATTTGCTGGTTAAAATGTACTTTTTAACTTATTGAGTAGGAATCTCTCTGCCATACCATTCTAATTGAAATGAACAGCAGGTGGATAGGGAACAAGTAGGCCCGCCCATACACCATTTTTGAAGTGAAATTTCAGGAGTGGGAAACCCTGGGCTCATGCTGCTGGAAGATATCTGTATCATCTGTATCATGATTTTTCTCAAATTGTAATAAATTGAATGTAAAAAATTATAGCTAATAATTTAGAAATGTTAACAGCATCCCTATTAATTTTTCTCCTTTTCTTCTAGGTTAATTGTTCATGAAAAAGGAGAACTATAATCCAAGATGACTTGGTTTCTTTAAGTGTACCAAGAGAACGGGTTTGTCTTAACTTTGAAGTTGTTTCCTTTGGGATGGTCTTAGCAGATCCTGATCCAGGTTAATTTGAATGCTTGTCATTTGGTTGGTATTAACACTCATTAAAGTCTCCCAGGCACTTACTGTGTCGAGGAGCAAAAATTAAACAACACAGCAATCTAAGTGTTGTGTATACGTATACAAAGACATACAAACTGTGTGTACTCTCTTTCACAAATTACATTAGTGTCTTTTCAAATTTTCATTGCATTTGCAAGATCTTTACACCAAAATGGGAAGAGGAAAGCAACATACAGGTGTATCATGTCTCTGCTTATAATCTGCTCAGCACAGAACCAACTGGATTTGTCCCACCTAGATATTGCCTCCACGACATTTAAAACATTTGAAAGGTATTTTATCAAAGTAAGTTATGGGATATAAACACAAAACATTTATGTTATTTTTAGATAAATGAAGAAAAATATCTTAGCATCTTCTTCAAAGCGGAACACAGAACTCATTAAACATGCTATTAAACAGAAATCCTGTTGCTAGTAATAAAAATGGGTGCGAAGGAGCCCAGAGTGCCTGTCTGAAGCATGTCATGCAGGATGAGACCACAAGAGGCAGCACAGGCCTTCCCACATGCAGGGGCCAGGCTAGACCTTCCATTCATACCTAGCCCGCTTAAAGTTTTCAGGAAGGAGTAAAAACTGGGAAGTACAATCAACAGTTCAGTACTGAAGTGTTGATGTTTCTGGTCTTTACCAAAACATAATGAGAAAATATTTGCCACTTTTCTTATTACTAGTCTTCCAGTATGAATTCTTTAAAATTTTTTTTATTTGACTTTTAAATGAACTATTTGTTGCTCAAAAGAATGAAAATACTGGTAACACTTCTAGACAGATGTAAAGTTTTCCTTTCCATTTTATTGTTCTTATTTGAGTAGGATACTTAGGTTGGTTTTTGTGAAAAAGTAGCAAAAAGTGACAAGTTTCAACTAGTGCTACTTCCAAATTCATTGCAATATTTTTGACTCACTGATAATTAAGATTAATATTTCCTTTGTTTTTTTTTTCATCTTTTGGTTGCTGCCTCCATTGGTGCACAGACAGGAACTCAAACTAGTAAGGAATTATTATAATACACCTGCTTAATGTTATCAATCCTCAGTACTATTTATACCTTTGAAGGCATTTAGTAAGTTTCCACGCTCATGTTGTGTGCTATAACCTCTCCACTACATTTATTCCAGTGATGGCTTATGGCCTATATAACATGGAGCCTCGATGGAAGAACATGTAGAGTATCTTCTGGTGGCCCATTCTCTAAAGAGTGAATTGAAGTAGCTAAGTTCCTGACTGTAACAATGTTTAAGTAACTACAGGTTAGATTACTTGCCCTGATTGTGTCATTGACTGTGTCTCTTGAAACTCTCTTTTTGTTCTCACTTGCTCTATAGTTCCGTTTCTATGCTCCTTTCAATGCAACATTTGTTACCCTCCTATTAAGTGTCAAGTGCCCTGCTAAGAACTGAGGATACAGAAAGTAAAGACATAGCAGCTGCTGCCACAAAGTACATGGTGTAAGCCCCAGATGTCACATGATGGTTTCGTCATTACTTGGAACTGCTTACTTTCCTGGTCACTGAGAAATGACTAAGTCCACACATAGGAGCCATAAAAGTGCCATAATAACAGTGAACATGTTCTCCATATTTCTTCCTGTGTCCTCTAGAGCCTGGCACAGTGTGGATGGAGCACTTAGCAGGCAGTCAATAAATAACTGTTGAATAAGCGAATGTACAACCTAGTGAAAAGGGCAAGACGTGAGGAGCTGTATATATTTATGTCTAAGGCTAACATAGGAGGAAATTTAATTCTTTAGTCTCTGGACAATCAGAGCAGTCAGAATTCATTCGAATCACTATATTCAGATGTAGGAAAGCAGTTGGGAACGACTCTCCTGAATGTTAAATATTCTCCTACAGGCTTATTCCTGCTCTAATGTATATAGAGAGACCTAATACATTGATTTCCTTTGATAGAGGACTAGTAGAAAATGAGAGTAAGCAAAAACCAGAAGTTTGAATTTAACAAAATAAACCATTTTAATAGAAGTTAAAATTATATGAAGAAAGACCAAAGATGGGAAAATCAAAATAATAGCACTTTAAAGCCTGAAGCTGCAAGCAGATAAATTTACCTATAAGTATCTCTGTGTCATTGTAAACCTGGAAAGTAATATTTAAGTATTGCACAAAAATCCAAAGCAAATTGGAAAAATTCAGGTGCCAGTATGCATAATTCAGAGAAAAAACAATTTTTTTTTCCTTGAGAGAGGGTCTTACTCTATTACCCAGGCTGGAGTGTAGTGGTGCTATCATAGCACACCGTAACCTTGACCTTCGGGGCTCAAGTGATCCTCCCATGTTAGCCTCCCAAGTAGCTGGGAATACAGGCAGCATCATTGCACCTGGCTAATGTTTGTTTGTTTGTTTTCAGAGATGGGGTCTCCCTATGTTGCTCAGGCTGGTTTTGAACTCCTAGGCTCAAGCAATCCTCCTGCCTTGGAGTTCCAAAGTGCTGGGATTACAGGTATGAGCTACTGTGCCTGGCCTAAATTAAATTTTTAAAGAAAACAAGCCTTCGTGTTTTTATCAAGTAACTAAAGGAAGAAACACAAACCAAAAAAACCCACCAAGTTGTAGTGAGGAAATTTTCTTTAGAAGAGAAAGAGAAGAGAGAGAAGAAAGTAAAACAGAAAGATGTCAAGAAAGAAATAAAAATATTGGAAGATATAAAAAAGCTAAATATTAATAGTCAAAATGAGTAAAACTGTTTATAAAATCTAGCAAGAAAATACTCTAAACAAATTAGACTCAAATAATGGAATTGCCAAACAACTGATAAAAATGCTGAATTTACAGAATTGCATAATAAAAGAAGTCTTTTCTTTAAATAAGAAGGAACAGGAAAAATAACTCAAGTTTATAGCTAGGTGCTGATGAAAAGTCTATTGACAATAGGTATGCTTATCAGTGAATCCCAACAGTTGATAATATAAAATTGGGTAAGCATCTGAGCATTTTCATTAAAAATATTAGAATACCCAAAAGTGCCACTATTTGGACAGGTAGTAGAGTTAGGAGACAGGTATTCTACCACGTAAAAAACAACTGCAAATAAGCATAAAAAAAATTGTAAGCAAACGTACTTTTATGTACCACAGGGAAATGAGAAAGGTTAGAAGGTGTGAGTCGCGAGATGAGTCGTTCACATACTGGAGTTGACTGAATCAATGTGATTTTTCTCATGTTTGCAGGAGATTAAAAATGGGACAAGATAATCCCCATAAACATTTGGAGATGAAAATAACTTAAGTAAAAACATATAATTAAATATGTTTAGAGGAGGCAGTAATATGGATTGATGGCTCTGCCTGTCATCTATGATCTTTAAGATTGAAGCCTCACCTGGCAATGAAAAATAATCCTGTTACCACTTAAGGTTACAGTGAGAAATCTTGTGTGGGTAAAGCATACGGAATTCAATAAATGCTTGTTCCCATCATCTTCCTTTCTCTACACTTACGGGATTTTACATATTTTAAATATCTTAAACACAATACAATATACCACTTGAAAAATAAATGGAGAAACTAACCTTTATTGAGTACCTACAATGAACCTGGAACTATGCTAAGTAGTTTAAAATGATGATGAAGTTTTTATTAGTTTATGAAGTTTACTTAAATAAGATATAAAAATACTATTATCACACAGCACAGGAGAATGCAGCAAGTACCATGCTCTTCCCTGGGTCTAGTTATATCTCTATCTTGAATTAATGTTGTAACCTCAGGTAAGTCACTTAACATCTTTAGATTTCAGTTTTCTTATCCATAAAATGGGAGACTTATACTAAATAGACTCTAAGTTGCCTTCCAGTATTAAAATTATATGCACAGTTTACTGTTAACTAGGTTAGGAAACCTACTTAAACCTTTCATTTCAGATGCTCTGAAAGAATTCTTAATTGGAAAATAAACTGCTATTACTTCAGGAAATATATATCATTTTTGCTTTATGGTTAAAACAGCTGTTTTGCAGAAAATGTGTACACACACTGCACTAAACATTGACTTAAGACTGTACATACAAAAAATATCATGTTAACACTCAGCTTTAATTGCATCTCTTACTCTCCAAATGAAATTCAGCAATCATGCAAAGTAGAAACTCTTGTTGAAGTTTTCTAAATTGTGAGATACAATGTTATCACAATTTAAAAAGAATAAAAGCAAAAGCAACCATTATTATGCAGATGACTTGCCTACAAATACACAATTTGATTAGCTAAACAGTACATGCTTCAGAGGAGGCAGGAGAAAACCATGATCCAGTCATTTGAGGACTACATCCTCCACCCCCAAAGTTACTATTCCTTTAGTTTTATTTTTAATTCTTTGAGGACCATGGGATGGGAATGGGGAGGAAATTGCAGCATTCAGAGTTAGTTGAAAGAACAGGAAAAAAAATCATCAGAGTGCTTCAGTGATCCTCATATACATAGCAAGAGGGCCTCAGATTAAATCCGATTTCTGAGGTACTGTGAGACAAACCATTGCATGAGCTCTTTCTCCTCTGTAATTCCCTTAATTCCTTCCTAATTCTCCAAATTCTATAAACTTAAAAATTGCTTGGATATGGCTTTGAAAAAAGTGGTTCAAATTTTTTAAAATCACCAAACAATTATTTATCAACCACTGTGTTCACGTATGGAAAGACAATAGCGTGCATTTGAGAAAAAGTATAAGGATGTATATAAAAGTTTTCAAAAATAAAAACACAAAACTGTCTTTTTTGTAGACTGATAATTTGTAGTACCATAATGGATGGCTGTATAATAAAAATACTATAATTAGCAGTCTAATAGGAACCTTTAAAAATAACTTTAAATAAATAACAGAATAACAGGTATTTTTAGAACACTGACTAGTCATGCTACAGTACAATTTCTAAAATATCAAAAGGTTGCATTTATAGCAGTACTAGCAAGGAAATGCACTACTAATACACTTTCAGCCTTTGCCTCACCTAGAATATGGTATTTAAAATAAAACCCAGAACAACAAAAAACTCTCTGCTAAGTGCCACTTAAAATCATAACCTTTAATAAAACCCTAAAATAGCTTGACCAATTTGCATAATTGTAGGGAACAACATTTTTCATCTCTATGTAGCACTTTTTCTCACAAAAGAAGCTGGAGATGTGGAGACCCATGACCAAGACAGGCAGTCCACAGTAAGTCTGGAACAGCCCCACTTTATTTCCACTGAAATTAAAAATACCACTTTCTCTTCATCACAGAGAAAGGGGAATTCAGCAATAGCCACAATTTGGAGAACATCAATCTTTCTATCTCTTTGGCTAGGTATCTTCACACTAAAGCATCCTGAGGCAAGGAATATGCAGAAGGAGATGGCGAAAGGGGGAGAGGAATAGGCAACATGTTCAGAGAAAGAATTATGCAGTAGTTCACCTGCTGTTGTCACGTTCAAGACATGGAGAGGCGCGGCTGCAACAGAATAGATACTTTAGCACAGAGAAGGAACGGATAAAGTGAAATATAAGGAAGGAACTCAGAAGTGACTTATTATTTATACACCAATACCTTATTCATTGAAAACAAATGGAAATCCAAATGAGATATAGGTCGAGAAGAGCAAGTTATGGGGGCTTTGTGGCAACTCCCAGTTTAGAGAACTGGGGATATTATAAAATCACTGGATATGGGTTTTTAACCTTGGTCAACATTGGCTTATGAGGGCGTTTAACAAAGTCTGAGTGTCCAAGAAGCTACAGAAACATCAAGGGTCATTATGATGAAAAACATAAAGTCTTTGATTTGATGGACACAGTTTTGACGCAAAGGTTTTTGTTTTATACATTTAATACTTTAAAAATAATGATAATAACTTTTTGGGCTATCACAGAAGAAATGCAAAAAGAAAAGGCACAATTTAAAGTATAGATCAACAACAAACAGTAGCATAAACTATAAAGCGGGGTAGGTAATATCAATTACCTACTAGAGTATCGCAAAAAAAAGCTATGCAAACAAAGTCTTGGTGCTTTTGTCAATACTTCATTTCCTGCTTTGGAGATTGCTGTCTTCCTCAGTGGTCATAATGTCTAATCCCACATTATAGTTCTACCTTTCACTCTTCTTCTACCTATGAGTCTGCTCTTCCGTAAAACCCTCCATAAGCTTTCACAAGATTCTCTTGTGTTTTCAACCCTAATGACATACAAAAGTATACATGCTTAATGGACCGGAAATCCAACCTTACTAAACACTTGTTTTGCTACTTATTATGAAAAAACTTTCCTCATCTAAAAGAATTTACCTTCACGTATCTAAAAAAAACCCTAGGCTGTTGTGAAATACATGAATAACTAACTTAACTGCCGTACATATTAGATAAACATTAATATTGTCAAGTGAGAGCCTTGACTTCCTTGCATTTCAAATATCCCGTTATTTGAGAGAATACCTTCAAGATGATTTTTAAAATAGACTTTATTTTTGGAGAAATTTTAGGTAAACAACAAAATTGCCTTCAACATGTTTTTATGAAAAGAAGTTCTTTAAAAGACAACCTTACAGACCTCCAGTTAATGTATGACTGTGTAGGACATTTTAATGAATTGACATTTAATTGTTGGCATTTGACTGTAATTAAAACACTACAAAAACTAAAGACCTTTAATAACAATATTTAAGAAGACTTACAAAGCTAGCTACTGCTAAGAGTTGTGTCTTACATCTTCTAATTCCTTATGCACTTATGAAATGAAGAAGAATTGTAAAATTAAAATTCTTGCCCAAGATTATGTTGTTATGATCATGACTAGGATGCTAGAAATAACTGTTGATTAGAGTCATTGTGAATCTGAAGACAACACTTTAAAATAAACAGCAAATGTTAGTCTTTCTTTTGCCAGGTATTTGCTGTGTGTATTGAGCAGAACAGATTTTTTAATACTGATACTGATTTTTTAATCACTGATACTGATTTTTTAATCACTGATACCTATTGTTCTCTAGTTATGAACATTAGTCACTGGAAACATAAAATAGAGGTAAAATAAAATCACCAATACTGCTTATTGGTAGAAACGGTGTCTTCTATTAATGTAAAATCCCTTTATTAAATTTAAGAGAACATTATATGTACAAATCAGTGGCATGTGCATAAAAAACTAACTTTATTATCACCTCTATCAAAATATCTGTTTTTTGGCTGGGCACGGTGGTTCACGCCTATAAACCCAACACTTTGGGAGGCCAAGGCAGGTGAATCACCTGAGGTCAGGTATTCCAGACCAGCCTGGCTAACTGGCGAACCCTGTCTCTACCAAAAATACAAAAAATTAGCTGGGCATGGTGGTGCACACCTGTAGTACCAGCTACTCAGGAGGCTGAGGCAGGAGAATCACTTGAACCCGGGAGGTGGAGGTTGCAGTGAGCTGAGATTGTGCCACCACACTCCAGCCTGGGTGACAGAGTAAGACTTCGTCTCCTTTTTTTTTCCTTACATTTTGGGTAGAACTTGAAGTGGCTTAAGAATCCACCCAATTAATTAAAGAAAAACTAAGTTCTTCAAAAAAAATAAATAAAAGCTACTATTTAGGAACCTGGTGTATAATGAATAAAATTACAAAAAACTCTTGCTACATGACATGGTATGATGAGTGTTACTCATATACATTAATATCATGGTAGCTTTCAAATACCAGGAAACTGAGAATCATTGAGTTTTCAATAGTAATAACTCATTCTGTTAGAGTCATCAAATGCATTGTGTTTGTTGAAACACTGGAGACGCTAATAGAGAATAATTTGCCTGAATAAAAATAACAGTAAGTCAAACGTTACTATTGTGAATTGAACCACATTGACGCTGCCATTTAGAGGAGTCATAATACATTTTCCTTAATGGATTTGCAATTTGTGAAAGATCTAGAACATGTGTATATGGGGATTGTACAAATACTAATAGCTATAATCTATTGAGCACTTATTATTTCCAGGCAAAGTGCTAATTATTTAAAAAGTAATTAGCTATTAAAGCTCCCCTATGGGATCAATAATATAACACTCATCTTATAGATATGGAAACTGAAACTCAGAGATTTTTATATAACTGTGCCTGATGTCACATACGAGTGTCAGTGTCAGGATTTAATTCTGACAGGTCTGACTCCCAAGCACACTATTAACCACGATGTTTCTCTCTCTTTACAGATTAAGTGTCTTCTAACTTTAAATAACAACATAGAGTGTGTTTCTAAAGGCAGAGGCTAGATGTTACTTAGCTTTTTTCTTAGTACCTGGCACAATGTCAGGTACTTTATAGAATTACACAAATGTGTGAAGAATGAATACATAAGTGAATGGAAGAAATAAAGAACATTTGAGAGAACTAGGTATACCTTAATTAACCAGGTCTCTCTAATAACCAAAGCCTTATTAAGCAAAGTTTTTCCTAACAGTTTATATATAAAACAACTGTACTATTGGCGCTTGTAGACAGTATCAATGCCAGGCCTCCAAATAATTGGTCTGGGTTGAGGCCTGGGCACTAGTTTTTTTTGTTTTTGTTTTTGTTTTTTTTGGAGATGGAGTCTCACTCTGTCACCCAGGCTGGAGAGCAGTGGTGCAGTCTAGGCTCGCTGTAACCACCACCTCCCGGGTTCAAATGATTCTTCTGCCTCACCCTCCTGAGTAGCTGGGATTACAGGTGTGCACCACCACCACGCCCGGCTAATTTTTGTATTTTTAGTAGAGATGAGGTTTCACCATGTTGTTCAGGCTTGTCTCAAACCCCTGACCTCATGATCCGTCCACCTCGTCCTCCCAGAGTGCTGGGATTATAGGCGTGAGCCACTGCGCCTGGCCAGCACTAGTATTTTTTAAAGCTCCTAGGTGATTCTAATGCACAGCAAAAGTTGAGAATTATCCAGAGTCAGTATTAAATGCTTGAGATTCATAGGAAAACTGTTTTATTAAAGACTATGAATTTAAAGATCTTTATCTTAACACATAATTCATCTTTAACTACTGGATGCTGTTGGTTCATCATAAGTAGTGCACCATAATTACTTATAGGTGTATCTAGTTGTACATAATTGGGGTGTAATTGAGGTACTTAGACTACTTTACTGCCCTTCAGTAATGAAAGAACTTCTTTTAAAAGTTCCTTTTTCAAAATATAAATGATTTATTTTGCAAACTGAAGTATTGGCATGCACAGATTCTTGTGTAAATTCAGTTATTATTAGTCAATTACATTTTACCTAAAACCATCTCATCACTTTGTAGGCTGCATATGAACTTTAAACACCTCATTATGATTTCTAGATTCTTATCTATGATCCTACAATACTCTACATCCAGGTCTTTTTCCTTCTTACCACTGTGAAGAAGTTCATTAGCAGAATGCAATGTTGTATCTTTTTAGTAATCTATAGCTTTCTTTTTTTAAAAAAGCAAGTAAATTTGAATGAAGTGTAATTTGTTTTTTATTCTCATGAATAACTGTCGCATTAGGAACTAGCCTCTACTTATTTAACAAGGAAAAAAGTATTAGGATTGTTTTCAATAACTATATAACTTATGTTATTGTATGAACCTTTACTTAGTATAAGATTAGTTGAAGAAGTCTAAAATTTTTAACTAAAATATGTTGGAACTCTTTCCTGAATAAAGAATATTTTAGAATAATAAAAATAAGAAAGGATCTACTTTTCCAAATAGTTCTGGGATTTATGGATAAGGATTTGGGGATAATAATTAAAATCAAAATATTGCATTTTGATATATAGCATATAAATAGGGCTTTAAAAATAATTAAATAAAAAATAGAAATTTTATATATAATTATGATATTACTATATTATTGCAAACTACTAATATGTAAGGAAGAAATTGGAAGAGTGTTACAATTTAAAACTCCTTAAAGAATTTATATTCCACATAACTGAACACCTTAAGAACAACTTTAAGTATGTTTGAAAGTATGACTCAAACTCCTATTTTTTAATGAGTTAATAAAAACAGGCAGCATTGCTTCAACAGTGGTGTGTATACTCTCTGAATGACTTTAAAAAGATAACTGAGAACCTGACTGATTGCGTTCAAATTCCCTTTTTGTTTATATCCCTACTTCAAACAATATATAAACTCCTCTATATATTTGTGTGATTCAAGCTTCTGTAACATTATTTGAAATGCATTAGCATCTGAGAAAGGCATTTATTTCATTGAACCAATCAGCTAATCCTAATAAATAGAAACTTTCTAGAAATCACATGATTCAGCCCCTCTTTTTAGGATGTCTTAAAGACAGTACGTGAATAGTAGGAAGGCCACTAGTATATTCCAGTTAGGTAGCAAGCTGTTTGACGCAATTCTACTAGTTGTTTTAAAACAATAGTCAGTTTTTTTAATGCTGAATTCAATCTTTTTTGCTGGTTTGTTGTTGTAGATATAGAGTCCATGTTGGATAAAGCAATGTTATTTACAAGTTTAAACAAAGGGCACCTCCACTGTAAAGCTAGCCACCAGCTAAAGCTACTGGACAAAGCTGTTGTTTTCACTCCCATCTCTTTTTACCTCTTGATCAGGATACATAATATTGATTTACTCACCCTGAATGAATAGGACTAGAAGAAAGAGCCACGTTGTCTAAGTTCTCAGTGCCCCAGCTTAGGCGATAAGAATTCCTTTCTGCCTCCTTGGCTAGAGTTGACACCTAAACACAAAGAACACTGGATTGAATAAACACACTTTGCTTCAATTAAAGTAAAATATAACAAAATATAAAAAGTGTCATCACTGGAAAGTGGTATAACCTAGAAAAACTTACACTTAAAATATAAAACCAATGTATTTACAATGAATCTTTTAAAATGCATTCTCTTTTAAACTGCATTATTTAAATAGATTATATAAGATTACATTCGTGTAATTGTCTTTGAAGACAGTAGGTATCCATCTATTTCCCTATACCCAATCCACCAAAAGTGATAAAATCATAACTAAAATTAAAATATTCCAGAATAAATTTTAAGCCTTTCTCATAGCTAACAATTTTAAATATTGAAAGATATAACTTAACCTGTACCATTCATCTTATACCTTAAATGCATCCTACTTCACTTTTTCCTTTAATGGAGATTTTATTTTAAAAATATAATGTTCATATATAATCTCCACAGAAGAATTCAGTATAGCTGAAGAAATAAGCAGTATGCTTTTTCAGAAAAACACTGCTCATTGAAAAAATCTAGTGAACATTTTTCATGTTTTAGGAAAACCCTCAAATCTCTTATCCTAGCTTCTCAACTGAATTGGGAATGATTTTGGGGGGATTAAAAACTTTCTCAGGACATTTCTAGCATCCAATAATGTTACAAAGCTCTCCAGAAAGCAAAGACATGAAGGCAAAATGTCACATACCTGGTGACTGGGAATCACAACTGAGTCATCCATCACGGCACTGTCCCTCAGGTAGGAGGCATGGCTCAGAGTGTGAGACCTGTCGGAACTGAAGGATCGAAGGCTGGTAGGTTGGCAGGAGGCCATGGCATATACCAACAGCAGTAGCAGGGTTGGGATGACAAAATGATGAGCCGAGCAGGAGAGTGAAAAAAGCGTGCTATTAGCTAACAGCACAACTTCCAGGGGGACACAAGTCTCTGTTGTCCTACCTTTTTGTCCAACAGCTGAACTAACACATCCTTTGACAGGTTCCTACCGCTCAATGGCAAGAGCACAAGGGAATCCAGAAGTTAAAATTTGATACTCCTAATCTGATTCATTTTCTTCCCAGAAATGTTTGAAACCAGCAACTGTAGTTTATTACTGCCAGTACCAGAAATTCACTCAGGAAATAATTCCAGGATAGATTGCTTAAATCTGTGTTAAATGTTAATCTCTCTGCAACTAAGAAAAATATAAGGAGGAAAGTAGATGGCCCTCAGAGAGAAGAACAAAATGAAAGCCCAGTTTCATTTTCGCTTATTATTTTCCATTCTCTCTCTATGCCTCTTTCTCCTCCTCTCTAAACTGTGAATGACTGAATGTTGGTGCATTCCCCTGGAAGGTACAGAGTGAAATGAACTGTGGCCAGATGCATGCTTCCTGCGGAAGTGGAGTTCCTCTTGTTTGTCTCTAGTGACTCCAACAATGCTATTATTTCAAACGAGAGCACTGTCCCCTTTGCATGTCCTGTGTGTGGTGACTGAAGCACCAGAGTGTTGGTTGCCGTGGTGATGAGATGCATGAGCACAAGAAACTGTATCTAAGCTCCAGCCCAGAACACAGACACACCTGCCAGCACAAAGACAAATTGCCAATGGCCACTGACCAAAAATGAGGTTTGGCTTCAAAATGGGATTTAGGCCTTGATAAACCATGCATTACATTTTTGAAAAATCTGAACTTCAAAGTTCTAAATTACACACTCATATGTAATAGGTAAAACTTGACATTTGCATAGATGCAATCTCATTCCTTTTAAATCAATTTGTAAAATCAAATGACAGATTGGTATCTTAAATAAGCTATATTTTATACACTGTAGCTCAAGTATTAAAGATCTGTGTTCAAAATATTAGCCCAAAGCCCATAAGGGAAAAAAAGGAGATACGCAAGCTTTCACAATATTTATAGAAGCAAACTTTCATTTACTTTTAGCTAGTAGGTGTTTGGCCAGTGAAGCACTGTAGAATTATGGACTAAATGTTAAATTAGCATATTTATTAGTAGAAACTATCTTCATTTTGCAAGTATATTTAATTTTGTAAGCCATGTACTATCATATCTATGAGGTGTCAACATAGCCCGCATCAATTGTCTTTGAGGAAATCATCACTTTGTAGGTAATTCATAGTAATCCAGGACCTTCTCCTTCTTATTTTACATGTAGGTATATTCCAAAAAAAGTCTTAAAGGGTAAATGACATGAATAAAAAGAGTTGATTGTCTGATCCTTGCGTTAACACATACATAAATCTGTGTTTACAATAAAACAAAATCTAAATATAACCTGAGAATTAACTATTTTATGTTATGTAGGCTCTTGGAGAAGATTGAGGCTCTTGACAGAGCCTTAGTAATTTCATCAACAAGAGTTTTAGCTCCAGCAATTGGAGGCTACTTATATTACAGATGGTTTTACATTTAGCTTTTGATAGGGGATTAGATTATTGGGAAAAGGGTTAATCTCAGCAAAAGCTTGTCTCAGCTGGTGGAATGGATAATTTGTTTTCCTGCTGTAAATCACAAAGATAGCTAAGATCCACTTGGATGTGTTTTGTACCAGGTGGCACGAGATCAGCAATTCTTTTTTTTTTTTTTTTTTTTTTTTTGAGACGGAGTCTCGCTCTGTCACCCAGGCTGGAGTGCAGTGGCGCGATCGTGGCTCAGTGCAAGCTCCGCCTCCCAGGTTCACCATTCTCCTGCCTCAGCCTCCCGAGTAGCTGGGACTACAGGCGCCTGCCACCACGCCTGGCTAATTTTTTTGTATTTTTAGTAGAGACAGGGTTTCACCGTGTTAGCCAGGATGGTCTCGATCTCCTGACCTCGTGATCCGCCCACCTTGGCCTCCCAAAGTGCTGGGATTACAGGCGTGAGCCACTATGCCCGGGCTAGATCAGCAACTCTTAAATTCTATTCACCTTTATTTTGTTTTGAATTTGGCTAAGGAAGGGAAAATAGTAGAGGAGCCAACCTCTTCTGTTTCTAATACAGCTGTTCTATGGGCTCAACCGTCTTCTGGAATAGCAGAAACACCGGTCTCAAAGGGAAAATGAAAATTTAGCTTGAATGAGAACAAACTGAATGGTAAATAATGGTACCTCAAATAAAACCTTGTGACGTGGCTGCCAGATTGCAAAGGTCTAAACTTTGAAAGAATCAATCAGGTCTCAATTGCCACTCTCAAG